>NC_000011.10:32938787-33090303 GCF_000001405.40 Homo sapiens
AGAATTATTTACATATTTACTTGCAGTATAGGAGTTGGATTAAGAAAAAAAAAACTAATGGAACTGTATCTTGTATCAACATAAACTAAATCCTGGGCTCTTTTAGGCAAGATGGTACACAGTTGTCTAACACTCTGAATTCTATATTTGCATTAAAAAGACCAATGGAGTATAAAAACCCATCCCTAGTTTTGAATCCTGAAACTAGGGTTAGGTGCTATTTTCACCATTCCTTACTCCTTTCAGATTGAATTAAAATGTAGTATAAAACTAGTTTTTGCACTACTAAAATGTTTCTGAATCTGTATCAAGTAATTTACTATTATCAAGTCAGTGGAAGTAGAATGTTAGAGCTATATAGTCTAGTTACAATTTGATTTCATTCAAAGTGACTGGTATGTTTTTTCAAAATGAAGGCCAAACTGACGAACAGCACTCAGCCCCTACTTCACAGGCACCCAGATCTCAAGAATGTAATGAAACCAAAAGTGGTGTTTCCCTTCAGTTTTGTTTGCATCTCTGGATAAAATGGACTTGGCTGAAATGTGTTGAAAGCTTAAAAAAATGTGTAATACCACCATCAGTTTTCTGGGCTCCTTGAAGATCTTTTAAAACTTAAAATTTGGGTTTTAATTTTTTTTTAAGGTTTGTTTTAGTTCTTTGTCTCTGAAATTTATTTGGCATTCTGGGATGTTCTGGGTCTTTGTATACTGAGTAATTTTGGATTTTATCTTGGACATTTTGAGTACTGTATTGTAAAACTGTAGGTTCTATTAACATCCTCTGAAGAATATTGATTTATTTTGTTCTGTTTTAGCAGGCAGTCAGAACATAAGTTCTGTCTTACTTTTTGTGAATGGTGTTTCCAGTGTCAGTTCTGTTTTCAAGGCTTTTGCTTTGCTGTTGTAGGTCTGTTTTAGCAGTTAGCCTAGAACTTGGGTGGGTTGTAGACTATGTTGTAGTTCAGATCTCAAAGCCTTTCTTTTGCTAGTTTTGGTCTGTCTTACACTTGTGCATCCTAGGTATGAAACGCTGATTTGTGTGGGTCCATACATAGAATGAGAAGATCCCATTCTCCAGCTCCCTTTTCCCTGGGATTTTTCCCTACACTGTCCAGATCCCAGGGTCCCTTTTCCTAGTCTGTTGCCTAGAAGACTGAGATTTTTTTTTTTTTTTTTTTTTGAGATTTATCTTCCCAGGCTTTGACATAATTCTCTGCAACTGGGACTGCCCTTGGGGCAATGCAGTGAAAGAAATGAAGGAACAGGGATTCTCCCTATTCTCTTGATGCCTTAGGGGCCTTGTTTCTAGGTTCCTTTTGCCAACAAGACAAGCATTCTGTTAGGATTTTAGATTTCTGATTCATTATTACTGCATTTCAGCTCTGTGACTTGGGCCTCTCTCTGGACAGAGTTGGAAACAAAAAAGAGAAAAAAGAAACAGATTTTCCCCTTACTGTTAGCCTTGCACAAGGCTTCTTTACCCATTCCTCTGGCCAGAAAGTTAGGGTTTTTCTTGAAGTTTTGTTGCTTTTGTGTTGTATAGTTTTGCTTAGGGACTATCATGATCCCTGCTTGGTCATGACAGATTATTTTAATCTGTTGAAAGATTTAACTTGCTAGTATTTTATTTGAGATTTTTACACTTAGATTCATAAGTGAGATTAGCTTATAGTATTTTTTGTCTTAATCTGACTCACTTTTGTATTCAGGATTATGTTGGTCATACAAATTAAACTGGGAGGTTTTTTTTCTGTTCATCCTAGCTTTGAAAGTTTATCATACATAATAGGGATTTGATAAAACTTTCTAAGAATAGATCTAACTAACTGTCTTTCCAGTTTTTCTTGAGGTCGCTTGGTCTGTCTAGGTCAATTTAAGAAAGTTACATTTTCTAGGAAAATCATTCATTTAGATTGTAAACTTTGTTGTAAAGTTGTCCATAGTAATCCTTAAGTTTTAGTCTCTTCTACCTCTGTAGTTATACCCTCTTTCTTCCTCTAAATGATTATTTGCATTTTTTCCTTGTCAGTCTGTGAAAGGTTTTTGCCTAATAAATGGTTCTTTTTAAAGAACCAAACTACTTTTATTTTTTTGCTCCTGTTATTTTTTACTTTTTTTTCTTAATGTCTGGTTTTATCTTAATTCTTTTGCCCTTTATTCCTTGGGTATAATTTGATCATCTCTTTCTGGCTTCTTGAGTTTAATACTTAGTTTATTTTTGTATTTTTTATCTAATGAATGGCATTTAAGCTGTCAGTTTTCTTCTTTGCACCACACTTTGACCATATCTCATGGTTTCAGTTTATAATGCTCTCACTTTCTTTTCGAACTGGCTTATTATTTCAGTTTTGATTTCCTTTTTAGCCCAGGATTTATGAAGAATGGTCAGGGGTTCTTTGTCTGTTTCCTAGTAGTTTTTGTTTTTATTATTATTATTATTATTATTATTTTTAATTATTATACTTTAAGTTTTAGGGTACATGTGCACATTGTGCAGGTTAGTTACATACGTATACATGTGCCATGCTGGTGTGCTGCACCCACTAACTCGTCATTTAGCATTAGGTATATCTCCCAATGCTATCCCTCCCCCCTCCACCCCCCACAACAGTCCCCAGAGTGTGATGTTCCCCTTCCTGTGTCCATGTTATCTCACTGTTCAGTTCCCACCTATGAGTGAGAATATGCGGTGTTTGGTTTTTTGTTCTTGCGATAGTTTACTGAGAATGATGATTTCCAATTTCATCCATGTCCCTACAAAGGACACGAACTCATCATTTTTTGTGGCTGCATAGTATTCCATGGTGTATATGTGCCACATTTTCTTAATCCAGTCTATCATTGTAGGACATTTGGGTTGGTTCCAAGTCTTTGCCATTCTGAATAATGCCACAATAAACATACATGTGCATGTGTCTTTATAGCAGCATGATTTATAGCCCTTTGGGTATATACCCAGTAATGGGATGGCTGGGTCAAATGGTATTTCTAGTTCTAGATCCCTGAGCAATCGCCACACTGACTTCCACAATGGTTGAACTAGTTTACAGTCCCACCAACAGTGTAAAAGTGTTCCTATTTCTCCACATCCTCTCCAGCACCTGTTGTTTCCTGACTTTTTAATGATTGCCATTCTAACTGGTGTCAGATGGTATCTCATTGTGGTTTTGATTTGCATTTCTCTGATGGCCAGTGATGGTGAGCATTTTTTCATGTGTCTTTTGGCTGCATAAATGTCTTCTTTTGAGAAGTGTCTGTTCATGTCCTTCGCCCACTTTTTGATGGGGTTGTTTGTTTTTTTCTTGTAAATTTGTTTGAGTTCATTGTAGATTCTGGATATTAGCCCTTTGTCAGATGAGTAGGTTGCGAAAATTTTCTCCCATTTTGTAGGTTGTCTGTTCACTGTGATGGTAGTTTCTTTTGCTGTGCAGAAGCTCTTTAGTTTAATTAGATCCCATTTGTCAATTTTGTCTTTTGTTGCCATTGCTTTTGGTGTTTTAGACATGAAGTCCTTGCCCATGCCTATGTCCTGAATGGTAATGCCTAGGTTTTCTTCTACGGTTTTTATGGTTTTAGGTCTAACGTTTAAGTCTTTAATCCATCTTGAATTGATTTTTGTATAAGGTGTAAGGAAGGGATCCAGTTTCAGCTTTCTACATATGGCTAGCCAGTTTTCCCAGCACCATTTATTAAATAGGGAATCCTTTCCCCATTGCTTGTTTTTCTCAGGTTTGTCAAAGATCAGATAGTTGTAGATGTGCGGCATTATTTCTGAGGGCTCTGTTCTGTTCCATTGATCTATATCTCTGTTTTGGTACCAGTACCATGCTGTTTTGGTTCCTGTAGCCTTGTAGTATAGTTTGAACTCAGGTAGTGTGATGCCTCCAGCTTTGTTCTTTTGGCTTAGGATTATCTTGGCAATGCGGGCTCTTTTTTGGTTCCATATGAACTTTAAAGTAGTTTTTTCCAATTCTGTGAAGAAAGGCATTGGTAGCTTGATGGGGATGGCATTGAATCTGTAAATTACCTTGGGCAGTATGGCCATTTTCACAATATTGATTCTTCCTACCCATGAGCATGGAATGTTCTTCCATTTGTTTGTATCCTCTTTTATTTCATTGAGCAGCGGTTTGTAGTTCTCCTTGAAGAGGTCCTTGACATCCCTTGTAAGTTGGATTCCTAGGTATTTTATTCTCTTTGAAGCAATTGTAAATGGGAGTTCACTCATGATTTGGCTCTCTGTTTGTCTGTTGTTGGTGTATAGGAATGCTTGTGATTTTTGCACATTGATTTTGTATCCTGAGACTTTGCTGAAGTTGCTTATCAGCTTAAGGAGATTTTGGGCTGAGACAATGGGGTTTTCTAGATATACAATCATGTAATCTGCAAACAGGGACAATTTGACTTCCTCTTTTCCTAATTCAATACCCTTTATTTCCTTCTCCTGCCTAATTGCCCTGGCCAGAACTTCCAACACTATGTTGAATAGGAGTGGTGAGAGAGGGCATCCCTGTCTTGTGCCAGTTTTCAAAGGGAATGCTTCCAGTTTTTGCCCATTCAGTATGATATTGGCTGTGGGTTTGTCATAGATAGCTCTTATTATTTTGAAATATGTCCCATCAATACCTAATTTATTGAGGGTTTTTAGCATGAAGCGTTGTTGAATTTTGTCAAAGGCCTTTTCTGCATCTATTGAGATAATCATGTGGTTTTTGTCTTTGGCTCTGTTTATATGCTGGATTACATTTATTGATTTGCGTATATTGAACCAGCCTTGCATCCCAGGGATGAAGCCCACTTGATCATGGTGGATAAGCTTTTTGATATGCTGCTGGATTCGGTTTGCCAGTATTTTATTGAGGATTTTTGCATCAATGTTCATCAAGGATATTGGTCTAAAATTCTCTTTTTTGGTTGTGTCTCTGCCTGGCTTTGGTATCAGAATGATGCTGGCCTCATAAAATGAGTTAGGGAGGATTCCCTCTTTTTCTATTGATTGCAATAGTTTCAGAAGGAATGGTACCAGTTTCCTCCTTGTACCTCTGGTAGAATTCGGCTGTGAATCCATCTGGTCCTGGACTCTTTTTGGTTGGTAAGCTATTGATTATTGCCACAATTTCAGATCCTGTTATTGGTCTATTCAGAGATTCAACTTCTTCCTGGTTTAGTCTTGGGAGAGTGTATGTGTCAAGGAATTTATCCATTTCTTCTAGATTTTCTAGTTTATTTGCGTAGAGGTGTTTGTAGTATTCTCTGATAGTAGTTTGTATTTCTGTGGGATTGGTGGTGATATCCCCTTTATCATTTTTTATTGCATCTATTTGATTCTTCTCTCTCTTTTTCTTAATTAGTCTTGGTAGCAGTCTATCAATTTTGTTGATCCTTTCAAAAAACCAGCTCCTGGATTCATTAATTTTTTGAAGGGTTTTTTGTGTCTCTATTTCCTTCAGTTCTGCTCTGATTTTAGTTATTTCTTGCCTTCTGCTAGCTTTTGAATGTGTTTGCTCTTGCTTTTCTAGTTCTTTTAATTGTGATGTTAGGGTGTCAATTTTGGATCTTTCCTGCTTTCTCTTGTGGGCATTTAGTGCTATAAATTTCCCTCTACACACTGCTTTGAATGCATCCCAGAGATTCTGGTATGTTGTGTCTTTGTTCTCGTTGGTTTCAAAGAACGTCTTTATTTCTGCCTTCATTTCATTATGTACCCAGTAGTCATTCAGGAGCAGGTTGTTCAGTTTCCATGTAGTTGAGTGGTTTTGAGTGAGATTCTTAAACCTGAGTTCTAGTTTGATTGCACTGTGGTCTGAGAGATAGTTTGTTATAATTTCTGTTCTTTTACATTTGCTGAGGAGAGCTTTACTTCCAAGTATGTGGTCAATTTTGGAATAGGTGTGGTGTGGTGCTGAAAAAAATGTATATTCTGTTGATTTGGGGTGGAGAGTTCTGTAGATGTCTATTAGGTCCACTTGGTGCAGAGCTGAGTTCAATTCCTGGGTATCCTTGTTGACTTTCTGTCTCGTTGATCTGTCTAATGTTGACAGTGGGGTGTTAAATTCTCCCATTATTAATGTGTGGGAGTCTAAGTCTCTTTGTAGGTCACTCAGGACTTGCTTTATGAATCTGGGTGCTCCTGTATTGGGTGCATATATATTTAGGATAGTTAGCTCTTCTTGTTGAATTGATCCCTTTACCATTACGTAATGGCCTTCTTTGTCTCTTTTGATCTTTGTTGGTTTAAAGTCTGTTTTATCAGAGACTAGGATTGCAACCCCTGCCTTTTTTTGTTTTCCATTTGCTTGGTAGATCTTCCTCCATCCTTTTATTTTGAGCCTATGTGTGTCTCTGCACGTGAGATGGGTTTCCTGAATACAGCACACTGATGGGTCTTGACTCTTTATCCAATTTGCCAGTCTGTGTCTTTTAATTGGAGCATTTAGTCCATTTACATTTAAAGTTAATAGTGTTATGTGTGAATTTGATCCTGTCATTATGATGTTAGCTGGTTATTTTGCTCGTTAGTTGATTCAGTTTCTTCCCAGTCTCGATGGTCTTTACATTTTGGCATGATTTTGCAGCGGCTGGTACCGGTTGTTCCTTTCCATGTTTAGCGCTTCCTTCAGGAGCTCTTTTAGGGCAGGCCTGGTGGTGACAAAAGCTCTCAGCATTTGCTTGTCTGTAAAGTATTTTATTTCTCCTTCACTTATGAAGCTTAGTTTGGCTGGGTATGAAATTCTGGGTTGAAAATTCTTTTCTTTAAGAATGTTGAATATTGGCCCCCACTCTCTTCTGGCCTGTAGAGTTTCTGCCGAGAGATCCGCTGTTAGTCTGATGGGCTTCCCTTTGAGGGTAACCCGACCTTTCTCTCTGGCTGCCCTTAACATTTTTTCCTTCATTTCAACTTTGGTGAATCTGACAATTATGTGTCTTGGAGTTGCTCTTCTCGAGGAGTATCTTTGTGGCGTTCTCTGTATTTCCTGAATCTGAACGTTGGCCTGCCTTGCTAGATTGGGGAAATTCTCCTGGATAATACCCTGCAGAGTGTTTTCCAACTTGGTTCCATTCTCCCCATCACTTTCAGGTACACCAATCAGACGTAGATTTGGTCTTTTCACATAGTCCCATATTTCTTGGAGGCTTTGCTCGTTTCTTTTTATTCTTTTTTCTCTAAACTTTCCTTCTCGCTTCATTTCATTCATTTCATCTTCCATTGCTGATACCCTTTCTTCCAGTTGATCGCATCGGCTCCTGAGGCTTCTGCATTCTTCACGTAGTTCTCGAGCCTTGGTTTTCAGCTCCGTCAGCTCCTTTAAGCACTTCTCTGTATTGGTTATTCTAGTTATACATTCTTCTAAATTTTCTTCAAAGTTTTCAACTTCTTTGCCTTTGGTTTGAATGTCCTCCCGTAGCTCAGAGTAATTTGATCGTCTGAAGCCTTCTTCTCTCAGCTCGTCAAAGTCATTCTCTGTCCAGCTTTGTTCCCTTACTGGTGAGGAGCAGCGTTCCTTTGGAGGAGGAGAGACGCTCTGATTTTTAGAGTTTCCAGTTTTTCTGTTCTGCTTTTTCCCCATCTTTGTGGTTTTATCTACTTTTGGTCTTTGATGATGGTGATGTATAGATGGGTTTTTGGTGTGGATGTCCTTTCTGTTTGTTAGTTTTCCTTCTAACAGACAGGACCCTCAGCTGCAGGTCTGTTGGAGTACCCTGCAGTGTGAGGTGTCAGGGTGCCCCTGCTGGAGGGTGCCTCCCAGTTAGGCTGCTCGGGGTTCAGTGACCCACTTTAGGAGGCAGTCTGCCCGTTCTCAGATCTCCAGCTGCGTACTGGGAGAACCACTGCTCTCTTCAAAGCTGTCAGACAGGGACATTTAAGTCTGCAGAGGTTACTGCTGTCTTTTTGTTTGTCTGTACCCTGCCCCCAGAGGTGGAGCCTACAGAGGCAGGCAGGCCTCCTTGAGCTGTGGTGGGCTCCACCCAGTTCAAGCTTCCCGGCTGCTTTGTTTACCTAAGCAAGCCTGGGCAATGGTGGGCGCCCCTACCCCAGCCTCGCTGCCACCTTGCAGTTTGATCTCAGACTGCTGTGCTAGCAATCAGCGAGACTCCGTGGGGTAGGACCCTCCAAGCCAGGTGCGGGATATAATCTCGTGGTGCGCCGTTTTTTAAGCCCGTCAGAAAAGTGCAGTATTCGGGTGGGAGTGACCTGATTTTCCAGGTGCCGTCCGTCACCCCTTTCTTTGATTAGGAAAGGGAACTCCCTGACCCCTTGCGCTTCCCGAGTGAGGCAATGCCTCACCCTGCTTTGGCTCGCGCACGGTGCGTGCACCCACTGACCTGCACCCACTGTCTGGCACTCCCTAGTGAGATGAACCCGGTACCTCAGATGGAAATGCAGAAATCACCCGTCTTCTGCGTCGCTCAGGCTGGGAGCTGTAGACCGGAGCTGTTCCTATTCGGCCATCTTGGCTCCTCCCCCTGTTTTAATTATTAATTTGACTCTTTTGTATTGTGTTCAGGGAATATGTTCACATTTTGAAATTTATGGAAATTTTGTTAGTAGTTTGGTAAATGGTCCATTTTTATAGATATTCCACTTTTTATAAATACTAAGTACTAATAGATTTCATTAATAGTGTTCAAATCCTTTATATCTTTTTTATTTAATAAATGATATTAGGTTATTTAAGAAAATGTTTATATGTGTGTATATTTTGGAGATAAATGACATGTATGGAATTTGGCTTAAAATAGCCCAGCAAATATAAAAGGGAGTGATGGATAGATTAAACAGATGAACCAAAATGTTTGTGCTTGTTACAGCTGGGTTATAGTAGGGTTTGTATTCTCTACTTTTGTGTAGTCTAAAATTTTATAATAATAAAAAGTTTTAAAACTCCTCTCTACCCTTATTTGTTTTTAGATTGCTTGATCTGTTGATTCCTGAGAAAGGTGTGTTAAAGTTTTCCATTATGTTATATTATTTTTCTAATACTGTTTACTTGATATTTTGAACCCATGTAATTCAGTGCATAAAATTTTACTACAGTTAAATTTCCTTTTATCATAATAAAATCTCTTTTTCCCACTTAATGATTTCTGTTTTTAATACTGTCATACTAATGTTGTTATTAGCATTTTTTTAGTATTTTTCCATATCTATGTTTTCTTTTGGAACATTTTTTCTTGCGAAATACAACCCACATGTGAAAATCAAACATGCATAAAGAAAAATACAAAACAAAACTTCCACAGATTTGAAAATGCAGACATTATTCAAGCAGTATTCCCTGGGTACAGTGCAGCCGTTTCTAGAAAGAACAAAGAAAGGAACAAAGAAAAACTCACCCTTCCAAATAACTCTTGGCTTAAAAAGGAAACCAAAACTGAAATGACAAACTAATTGGAATGGACAGTGGAGCACTGTATACTGAAACTAATAGGATGTGGCCAGAGTGTGATGTGAAGAAGCAAATTTATAGTGTTAAATGTCATTCACTGGAAAGCAAGAAAATATCGAAATTAATTGAGTATTAAATTAAACTCACTCTTAACCTCTAGAGCAAATCACTAACTGACTTGGATGGTAATCACTTCCTTACTTAATATAATTTTACCATCTATGTATGCATCTCTAAAGACTATACTTTTTAGCTGGGGAAACATAGTGAGAGCCTATCTCTACAAAAAACAAAAAAACAGTTAGGTGGGCATGTTGGCATGTGCCTGTCGTCCTAGCTAATGTGGAGCCTGAGGCAGGAGTATCGGGTGAGCCCAGGAGTTTGAGGGGGCAGTGAGCTGGGATCACACCATTGCACTCCAGCCTGGGTGACAGAGCTAGATGCTATCTCTTAAAAAAACAAAACAAAACTATTCTTTGGTTTGTTTTAAAACTTCCTACAAAGGGCATATAAATAAAGTATTGATGAACTTTCCCTCTACTAGAAGTTATACATTCTTTTTTTAAAAAAATTTTGCTTTTTTCATAGAAATTTTCAAACATATACAAAAGTACAGAGATTGGCATAATGAAACCCAATTCTGGGGGCATCATCCATTTCAATAATCATGTGGTCCATCTTGCTTGATTCATACCTTTATCTAGGTGCCCACTCCCTGATTATTTTGGTGAAATATTTCTTTTCTTTTCCTGGTTACAATAGAAATTACAACATGCACTTTTAGCTTCTCCAAATCTGTCAATATCTTCCTTTTTCTGGATAATACAGATTTTTTAACACTGGAGCTCCATTTAATCCCCTCCTGACATAAATGTTATTGTTACTACATATTTAATTCTATCATCATTAATAGTCTTTTAAATAGTCATTTGTTTACATTTACTTATATATTTCCCAGTTTACCCTTCATTCATTCTTGTATCTCATAGCTTCTCCTTGGGATTATCTGACTAAAGCAGACTAAATACTAAAATACCTTTAGTATTTCCTTTTCTCAGAGTCTGCTGCAGCATCTCTGTTTTTGTTCACAGATAACTATGTGACTTGTTTTGACATATAACTTAGAAAGTATTTGTAGAAGTCAGTGACATTGCTATAACAAAGTCACTTTTATTCCTTAATTTACCCATTATTTATATGAACATGGTTTCTAAGTTTTTATATCAATAAAAGTGAAGGACAAATAAAATTGGTTGTAAAATCTATCTCAATAAGTACTGTCCATGTATCCATGTATGAATAATTTTTAAGTGCCATGTCCAACAGAAGCATGAGTTTTACATTTAATACTTGTCAAAATGTGAAAAGATAGTATAATTTGGATCAACTATGCAATTGTATAATGTTAGAAATGTTTAACATTTTGAGCCTTCAGTTACAAGACAAATCAGTTTCCATTTACATACATATTTTTGTGACAGAAAAGTATGACAATGTAACTATAGCATTATAGAAATATGTTAGGATAAAATAACATAGTATGGGCTCCTAACGTGATTAGAATATTCATCTGTATTTCCTCAACAGGTCTTTTCCCTTGAGTGGGAAATGTATAAATATATGAGAATAGCTTTAATTTGGGACAAGAACAGGTAGGCTGGCTGGTAGCAACAAGGAGGTCTTTATTTGTCAAGCACTTTAGTTCATGGATTTCCCCTGCCAGTCTGCATTTCCACTTTTTCTGTGTTGGAAGTCTGGATTTGCCTCAGGCCCTGCTTTGGTTTTCTCTCAGCTCCTCCACCACTCTAGGCAAGTAGAATTCACTCTCTTCAGAGTACAGCTTTTGCATTTTAGCCTATGGTCAAACACCCCTTCTGCCTACAGCTTAGTACAATTAAGGGGATCACTGGCCTTCCCTTTTTTTTTCTTTTTTTGAGAGGGAGTCTTGCTCTGTCACCCAGACTGGAGTGCAGTGTTGCAATCTAGGCTCACTGCAACCTCCGCCTCCCAGGTTCAAGCGATTCTCCTGCCTCAGCCTCCCGAGTAGCTGAGATTACAGACCCCTGCCATCACACCTGGCTAATTTTTGTATTTTAGTGGACACGGGGTTTTACCATGCTGGCCAGGCTGGTCTTGAACTCCTGACCTTAAGTGATCTGCCCACCCAGGCCTCCCAAAGTGCTGGGATTACAGGCATGAACCACTGTGCCTGGCCTGGCTTTCCCATTTTTATTTACTTATTGTTGTATATGTGATTATTTTAGTTCATCAGTATTATTCAGACTTACCACTGGAATTTTACATGTTATTTATATTTGTTCCTTAGCCCAAAGTTCCTCTATCAGCTGTGGTATTTGAAGTATTTTTTAATAGTTTTATTGAATTATAATTCATATACAATAACATCCACCCATTTAAAGTGTACAGTTCAGTGGTTCATAGACTTGTGCAGCATTTGTATCATTCAAAGAGAAACCCTGTATCCATTAAGGAGTCCATTCCCATACCCACACCCAGCTATAGGCAACCACAAATCTTTCTCTCTCTGTAGATTTGCCTATTTGGGATGTTTCATGTAAAGGGAATCCTATAATAAGTGACCTTCTGTAACTGGCTTCTTTCATTTAGCATAATGTTTTCAGGGTTTATCTATGCTGTAGCATGTATCAGTATCTGATTCCTTTTTATTCCCTAATAATATGGATATACCACATTTTGTATATTCAGTTATCCATTGATAGAGTTTTTGGCTATCATGAATAAATCTGTAAACATTCATTTACAGATTTTTGTATGGATGTTTATTATCTCTAGGGTACACATCCAGAAGTGGAATTCCTCAGTCATATATCTGCATGGTTAATAGAGGAATGGCCAAACTATTTTCCAATGTGGCTGTACCATTTTACATTTTCATCAGTGATCTATAAGGATTCCATTCATTCCACTTTCTTGCTAACATGTGTTAATGTCTATATTTTTAATTATAATCATCCTAGTAGGATGGTTAACTATTCTTTCTCTATTGAATGGTTCTGGCACCTTTTTTGAAAATCATTTGCTCATAAGTATAGGAGTTTCTTTCTGAACTTTCATTCTATTCCATTGATTTGTATCTATGTCTGTGTCAGTATCACAGTCTGTATTTCTATAGCTTTATGGTAAGTTTTGAAATTGAGAAATGTCAGTCTGCCAACTTTGTTCTTTTTTCAAGATCATTTTGGCTATTCTGGGTCCCTTTCACTTCCATATGAATTTTAGGAACAATTTGTCAATTTTTGTAAAAAATGAAGCTCAGATTTTTATAGGAATTGGGTTGATTCCATAGGTCAGTTTGGGGAACACTGCCATCTTAACAGTGTTGCGTCTTCTCATCCATCAACATGGGATGTTTTTCCAGTTATACAGATCTTCTATGATTTCTTTGAACAGTGTTTTTATAGTTTTTACAATGTAAGTTTGCAGTTCTTTTGTTAAATTTATTCCTAAATATTACTTTTGATGCTATTAGAAATGGAATTGTGTTCTTAATTTTATTTTTTGGGTTGTTCACTGCAAATGTATAGAAATACATGTGATTTTTATATATTGGTCTTGTACCCTGCAATCTTGCTGAACTCATTTTTTAGTTCTAATAGTTTTTTAGTATATTCCTTGGGATTTTTTTTTTTTTTTTGAGATGGAATTTCGCTCTTGTTGCCCAGGATGGAGTGCAGTGGTGAGATCGTGGCTCACTGCAACCTCCGCCTCCCAGATTCAAGCAATTCTCCTGCCTCAGCCTCCCAAGTTGCTGGGATTGCAGGTGTGTACCACCATGCCTGGCTAATTTTTTTGTATTTTTAGTAGAGATGGGGTTTCACCATGTTGGCCAGGCTGGTCTCGAACTCCTGATCTCAGGTCATCCGCCCGCCTCAGCCTCCCAAAGTGCTGGGATTACAGGCGTGAGCCACTGCGCCCAGGCCTTGGGATTTTCTATATACAAGATCATATCATCTGCAAATATAGCTTTGCTTCTTCAGATATCCTTCTTAGGAGGAAAGCATATACAGTTTTCACCACTAAGTATGATGTTAGTTACTGATTTTTTCTAAATGTCCTCTGTAAAGCTGGGGAAGTTCCCAGGCTGTTGAATGTTTTTATCATAAAAGGGCATTACATTTTGTCAGATGCTTTTTCTTCACCTATTGAAATGATCCTGTGCTCCTATGCTGTTTTCTATTAACACAGTGTATTACATTGATTTTCAGGTGTTAAATTAACTTTGCATTCCTAAGATAAATCCCACGTGGTCATATTGTATGATTCTTTTTGTATGTTGGTGGATTTGCTAGTATTTCATTGTGGGTTTTTGTATTTATATACTAAGGGATATTAGTCTATAGTTTTCTCATGCTGTTTTTGTCTGGTTTTGGTATTGGAATAATACTGGCCTCACAGAATGAGTTGGGAAGTGTTTCCTCCTATTGTTTGGAGTTTATAAAAGATTGATATCTTCTTTAATTGTTGATAGAATTATCCAGTGAAGCCATATGGGCCTGTGCTTTTCTTTGTGGGATGTTTTAAAATTACTTTTTTTTTTTTTACTTTGTATTGGGGTATTCAGATTTTCTATTTCTTCCCAAGTCTTTTTTTTTTTTTTTTTCCTTGAGACAGAGTCTCTTTTGCCCACGCTGTAGTGCAGTGGCACAGTCTTGGCTCACTGCAATCTCTGCCTCCCAGGTTCAAGCTATTCTCCTGCCTCACCCTCCTGAGTAGCGGGGATTAAAGGCGCGCACCACCACGCCCAGCTAATTTTTGTATTTTTAGTAGAGACAGGGTTTCACCATGTTGGTCAGGCTGGTCTCAAACTCCTGACCTCGTGATCTGCCCGCCTTGGCCTCCCAAAGTGCTGGGATTACAGGTGTGAGCCACCGTGCATGGCCCCAATCTTTTTTAGTATTTTGTGTCTTTCTAGGAATTTATCCATTTCATCTTAAGTTATTTAATTTGTTGGCATACAGTTTTTCATAGTATTACTTTATAATCATTTTAATTTTGATAGCTTCTAGTGCTGTTTCAGAATGTTTTGGGTTTTTTTTTTTCCCACATGTATTTGGTTTTTCATCTTCTATGAAGAGTCACAGTTTTGGTTGGCCGACCCTTCCTTATCTTCTATCACTTTCATGTCTTTATTTTTATTATTATTATTTTTTTAAGTAGGGTCTTGTTCTGTCACCCAGGCTGGAGTGCAGTGGCACTATCATAGCTCACTGTAACCCTTGAACTCCTGGGCCCAAGCAATTTTCGCATCTCATCCTCCTGATTAGCTGAGACTACAGGCACACAACACTATGCTCGGCTAATTTTTTATTTTTTTAATAGGGCTGGGACTACAGGTGTGAGCCACTGTACCCAGCCTCTTCTTTTAAAAATAATTTTGCTCTACTTACATGGAATTGGCAGCGGGAGGATAGGTAGATAGTTGCAGGTTTGCAGTCTACTTGTCATCTAGACTTAATTCTCACATCTTTGATTCTTGGAAATTAACATCTGTTGTCTAATTTCTTCCTGTGGTTTTGTTTCAACCAGTTTGATTACAAAATAATCAAGTCTTTCTTTTTAAACTGTTTTGAGTTTTACACAAAACAAGTGTTTAAATATTTGTAATACTGATTTGCATTTGCTTGGTTTTGTTTCAGAAGCCCTACAGGTGGCAACTACTAGCCCAACTGCCAATACTACTGGTACTGCTACTACTTCCTCAACCACTGTGGGTGCAGTTAAGCAAGAACCTCTCCACTCTACTTCATATGCAGTAAATATTCTGGAAAATATAAGCTCTTCAGAATCCTCAAAGCCCATTGAACTTGATGGTCTTCCTTCAGACCAGTTTGCAAAAGGACAGGACACTGTTGCCATAGAAGGTTTTACAGATGAGGAGGACACAGAAAGCGGAGGAGAAGGCCAATACAGAGAGCGTGATGAATTTGTGGTAAAGATAGAAGACATAGAGACTTTTAAGGTGATGTCAGTGTTCACCAGTGTAAAGGTCATAGTTTAGTTAGTGTGCCTGCGATAGCCTTCATTATGACTTCAATAGCATGCATCTACTTTGAATTATGGGAAGTTTTATGCATTATAAGTGTTTGATAAAATCAAAATATTAAGAGTAGATGTCAGATATCATTGAAGATAATTTTAACCTTAACTTAGTTGTACGTATTTCTGTACAAATGTAGTCAGTTGCATTTCAGTATTAGTAATTATAGTAGTTTTAAAATGTTGACTTTTTTCAAGGTTCCCAATTCATTATTAGTAGTTTGGAGAAAATCGTTATTTATATAATTTAAAAGTTTAAACAAAAATAACAGAGAACTATCATGTAAAAGTAGAATTAGATTTAATTTCATAATTTCAAGTTGTATAACCATGAAGAGAATGTAATAATTTTATGTAAGAAAGTTGTAGCTGTGTTTAAAATAACATATTTTGGGGTTTCTGTTTGCTTGCTTTGCTTTTTTGCCTTTTTATGTATTTTTTAAAATAGAGATGGGATCATGCTATGTTGACCAGGCTGGTCTCAAACTCTTGGCCTCAAGCAGTCCTCCCATCTTGGCCTCCCAAAGTGCTGGGATTACAGGCATGTAATCCTCATGCAGTGGCATGAGCCACTGCATACAGCCACTTTTGCCTTTTTAAAAAACATGGGAATGACGTTAAAAAGTGCAGTGAAGAATCCAACATTCAAGTGTCTGTATTCTCACTATTCACAGTTAACTACTTTTAATATTTTAATGTATTTGTTTATGGTCTTTTAAGATATGTATATATACATAGTTATAAAATTGCATATGTAACATAGGACAGTGTCATTAGCAGAAAACTTTCCAATAGTTTTAGCTGCACAAATGGGTAATGGGCTACTTTGTGTGCTAATGAACTCCCTATTTCTGGAATAATTTAAGCAGAGACTGAATAACCTAACCAGCTTATAAGAATTATTGCAGAATATCAGATAGAGAGGTGAGATAAAAGGTTGAGCTAGGGTAGGCCTTTCAGATTCCTTTCATCTCTAATATTCTAAGATCTAAAATATGTTGCTGTGTTTTGTAAGTATCATTAATTCTGGTTATTACAGGAGGCTTTAAAAACAGGAAAAGAACCTCCAGCTATTTGGAAAGTACAAAAAGCTTTATTACAGAAATTTGTTCCTGAAATTCGAGATGGTCAAAGAGAATTTGCTGCTACAAATAGTGTAAGTAAAATGCATGTTTACATTAGCCTTATTTTGACAGTGGTCCTGAGAAAAACAATGATTTAAATATAGAAGTATTTTATATTGAATATTTTTGATATAAAGTAGCATATAATTTGAACTAGAATATTGATGCTCTTTGATAGTCTAATATAAAAATAAAGTCATTTGTTAAATATCAGCTATTTAAAATTAAATGACCTTGTACTATTGTTTAACTTTTTTTTTTAATAAAGGAAAGGGATTAATGTTAGCCTATGAAGAGTTCAGATTGACTCAGAGGCTCCTTTATATTGATTATTCTACTAGTCAAATATCCTGATTTACCAGAAGACTGATGGAAGTTATTCTGTCATACTTAATGTAGCTGGAAGTAAGAATATGCCAAATGAGATTGCTTGTACATATGAAATCAATAATGAGCCTGGGATCAGTTTTTGAGGGTAAAATTAGCCTGGCCAGAGCTGCATTTTAGAAAACTTGAAGGTTGGCTATGGGATAGTCAATTGAACAAACAAAGTAGCATTTGTATCTAGATTGTTCAATTATGTAACTCAAAGTGTTTCCTTCCTCAGTATCTTGGATATTTTGGAGATGCAAAGAGTAAATACAAAAGAATATATGTGAAGTTCATTGAAAATGCAAACAAGAAGGAATATGTCAGAGTGTGTTCTAAAAAGCCAAGAAATAAACCTTCACAAACTATCAGGTATTTGTTTTCTTAGGTGATATATTTGTGCATATATATAGGTGTATTATTGATGATACCAATGTACAAAGGAGCATATCAATTAAATAGATTTTTTTTATTATACACAAGTCAAAAAATTTCAGTGCCTGATGAAATAAGTGATTCTTTTGAAGGCATGAGATGGGCACTGTAAAGCTCATGGCTATCTGTGGTGGGTGGGTGCCCTTTTCTTTTCCCTAAGTCCTTTTGGTGTCATCCCAGTATTGTGAAAAAAAATTGTAGAGGCAAAAAGTTTGAGTCCAGCTTTATGTGACTTAGAGAAGACAGCTTTCCTGAAGCTCCCTTTTTCATCTATAAAATGTAAATAATATAATGAAGTAAATTAAATTTAAAATAATTATTGATAAAAAAACTATAAGAACTACATTACTGTACAAGTGTACACAGTAGAATTATTATTGTGTATTAATGTGACTCTGGGTTGTCTGGAGCATGAATCTGGAAGATAACTGACTTGACCCTGTGGTCTGCATGAGAAGCAGGTATGACCGTAGATGTTCTTACTCCAGTGCCAAGTAGGTCCAGTTTCATTAACATTCCCACCTACTGGAAGCAGCTTACCTTATTTTTATGATGGAATTTTATCCACTCAAATCTTCAGACCTGGAAGAGAGCAAATCTTTTTTATTTGAGACAGGGTCTCACCCTGTCACTAAGGCTGCAGTGTAGTGGCATGATCACGGCACTGCAGCCTCGACCTCCCAGGCTCAGGTGATCCTCCTGCCTCAACTTCCCAAGTAGCTGGGACTACAGGTGTGCACCACTGTGCCCAGCTAATTTTTATAGGGATGGGATTTTACCATGTTGCTCAGGCTGGTCTTGAACTCTTGGGCTCAAGCAATTTGCCTGCCTCAGCCTCCCAAAATGCTGGGATTACAGGCATGAGCCACCATACCCAGCTGGCATACAGCAAATCTCGAGGGACTCTAGGACAGATGCATTTGGGTTTTTCTTTTTTTTCTTTTTTTTTCTTTTTTTTTTTTTTTTCTTTTTTTTGAGATAGAGTCTTGCTCTGTCGCCCAGGCTGGAGTGCAGCGGCGTGATCTTGGCTCACTGCAACCTCCACCTCCCGGGTTCAAGCGATTCTCCTGCCTCAGCCTCCCGAGTAGCTGGGACTACAGGCGCCCGCCACCACTCCCAGCTGGTTTTGTATTTTTAGTAGAGATGGGGTTTCACTATGTTGGCCAGGCTGGTCTTGAACTCCTGACCTCAAGTGATCCACCCACCTCAGCCTCCCAAAGTGCTAGGATTACAGGCATGAGCCACCGCGCCGCATTTGGGTTTCTACATCAAAACCTGACACCACCAGAGCCTGTGAGAGTTTCTTAGGGTCAGAGCTAGATATGGCAATTACGGTTATAACATTCATTACCTTCCTAAGCCCACTGATCATCTGTTGTACAGCCTCATAGTCTCTGGGAAATAAGTCCATAAATCAAGGAGGGCAATGAAGAAGTAGAAATAAGGACTGAACTAAAAGTCCCTTAATAACTGAATATTGAATGCTTCTGGTGAAAAGAATGTATTTTAAGAAAATTTTATGGGAATCACCATTGAGATGTATATAGGACTTGGACTGTATATTTTGAAGGTATTGGTGAGAGTAATTAGATAATCTTCTCCTGTGATTCTCTTTTATTTTTCTATTTTATTTTAGTTTAACAAGATTTCAGTGTGTTAATGAAGTTTGTTTATAACATTGCAGAACTGTTCAAGCTAAGCCAAGTAGTAGCAGTAAAACTTCTGATCCTCTAGCATCAAAAACTACAACTACAAAAGCCCCTTCCGTGAAACCCAAAGTTAAACAGCCAAAAGTAAAGGCTGAGCCACCACCAAAGAAACGGAAAAAATGGAAAGAAGAATTTTCATCATCCCAATCTGACTCATCTCCTGAGATCCATACTAGTAGTAGTGACGATGAGGGTGAGTTTTCCGTGAAATGGCTACCCTGATAACTTTAGATTATCTACATGAGTGGTGAGGAGCAGGATGCTGACAATTCAAAATGTATTTACTTTTCAGGGAATTTATCTACCTAATAAATTCTGTTTAGGTTTTTATGAAAGTAAGTTCACATTCCCTGAACATACCAACTGAAGCACAGTTGGCCCACACATGCAGCCTTGTAAATAGAAAAGGCAGAACTTACCTTAGTAATGCCAGTTATCTCAACTCTGGATAAGATGGAGGTTAGATCAGATGATTACTAAGAATCATCTAGTTCTAAACTTTTTTTTTTTTTGAGACAAGGTTTCATTCTGTCGCCCAGGCTGAAGTGCAATGGCATGATCCTAGCTCACTGCAGCCTCGAACACCTGGGCTCGTAACTCTCCTACCTCAGCCTCCAAAGTAGCTGGGACTATAGGTGTGCACCACCATGCCCAGCTAATGTTTCTTTTTAAGATATGGGCTCTTGCTTTGTCACCCAGGATGGTCTCAAACTCCTGGGCTTAAGCAGTCCTCCTGCCTTAGCCTCCCAAAGTGCTGGGATTACGGGCATGAGCCACTGCGCCCCACCTAGCATAAACATTTGAGTCTAAGTTTATGCTAGAAGAAAAGAATAACTAAGCCTAGGAAAGGGGCACTCAAATTATAATATAGTAATATATTTAATAACGTATGCCACTACATTATTTAATAAATGCTTACTACTATATATCTGCCACTAGCTAATCATGTACCTATAACGAAGGTAGGATATCCTCTCTTAGTTTTCTTGTTTTATAAAATGTAAAGGTTGAAATAATTTGTTATCAAACTTCTTGATCTTAGAACCATTTTACATTCTTAAAAATTATTGAGGATCCTAAAATGCATTTATGTAGGTATATCTATTGATATTTACTATATTAGAAATTAAAACTGAGATAGTTGTAATACATAAGAATATACCAGCACACAAAGCATGGTGTACAATATATGTAAGAAATTTCAGGTGGTTTAGTAGTGTAGTACAGAGGTTGCCAAATGTCTTGCAGACTGAATCTGACCCTCAGCCTGTTTTTATAGTTTTATTGGAACACAGCCGCATAGATTCATTTGCATATTTCCATACAGTTGCTTTCCCACTACAGTGGCAGATTTGAGTAGTTCTACAGAGACCATATGACAAAATCTAAAATATTTACCTATAGCCCTTTACAGAAAAAGGTTGCTGGCCCCTATTTTTCTAGAACATAAAGTAGAATTTAAGAAAAGAGGAAGGGATGATGAAAGACCTTGTATGCCATAATAAAGCTAAAAAGCTTGTGATCCTGTAAACAAATGAAAGTCCTTAGAGGGATTTATAAGGGGGAAACAATATGGTGAAATTTAAATTTGAATTACAAGACATAATTCAGGCATAAATTGAGTCTGAACCTAAGTAGTGGCAGCAGGGATGGAGATGAGGGGACAGTTTTGAGATATTCAGGATGTAATTTTGGCAGAACTTGAATGGTGAATTAGTTGTTGGGGCTATGGTTGAAGTTGATGTCCAGGATGGTTTCTGACATTACAAGTATCATTGCTTGAGAGATTATCTTAGAAATTATCTGATTAGAAATAGAACCATAATAAAAAAAATTCTTCAGTGCTGAAGTCTACTTTAAATTTACCGTTTTTATTTTTTATTTTTTGAGTCAAGGTCTACTCTGTTGTCTAGGCTGGACTGCAGTGGTGCACTCATGACTCACTGTAGCCTCGACCTCCCAGGCTCAAGTGATCCTCCCACCTCAGCCTCCTGAGTAGCTGGGACTACAGGTGGGCACCACCACACCCAGCTAATTTTTAAATTTTAATCTTTGTAGACACAGGGTCTCACTGTGTTGCCCAGGCCGATCTCAAACTCCTGGGCTCAAGCAATCCTCCCACTTCGGCCTCCCAAAGTGCTGGGATTATAGGCATAAGCCACTGTGCCCAGTCTAAATGTACTGTTTGTAAATGCTATTTGTGGGCAAGTGCAGTGGTGCACATCTACACACCCAGCTACTTGGGAGGCTCAGGAGAAAGGATTGCTTGATCCCAGGAGTTCAAGACCAACCTAGACAACATAGCGAGACCCCATAGCTTAAAAAAATAATAATAAAAAATAAAGCTATTTGTAAATGGTTGTTTAGAAATATATACATCAGGCTGGGCATGGTGGCTCATGCCTGCAATCCCAGCACTTTGGGAGGCTGAGGAGGGTGGATCGCCTGATGTCAGGAGTTTGAGACCAGACTGGCCAACACGGTGAAACCCTGTCTCTACTAAAAATACAAAAAAATTAGCCAGGTGTGGTGGCAGGCACCTGTAATCCCAGCTACTCAGGAGGCTGAGGCAGGAGAATCACTTGAACCCAAGAGGCAAAGGTTTCAGTAAGCCAAGATTGCGCTATTGCACTCCAGCCTTGGGCAACAAGAGCGAAACTCCATCTCAAAAAAAAGAAAAAAGAAATATATAATCAGAATAGGTAAGGAAATTCAGTGCCTTGAATATGCATAGAAGGCATTATACATAATTTTTGCAGTTAGCAGTCTTGCCTACTGCTTAGAATCAAAACGTTTGTTCTGAATTTGCTCTCAATTATAGTTTCTTCAAATGACAAGGTAACATTTTCTTCCCTTGGTAATTTGAGTGACCACTAGGTGTCACTAATAGTTAAGCAAACATTTTTAGGCCTTTTTGTTCCTTGCTTTACATTCTCAGGCTAAAGAATGTATTTAGTTCTCTTAAGAAGTCAAATATTGATAATAAACATATATTCATAGGCTGGTGATTTTCAGACTCTTTGTTTCAGGACTCCAATGGAATCTTCAAACACATTGAGGATTCCAGATACTTTGGTTTATGTGTGCTAAATCTATTGAAATTTACTAAATACCAATTCAAAGTTTTAAAATATTTATTTAAAATGAACCCATTACTTATTAATGTGAGGTGTTTTTTTTAAAACAACTATACTTTCCAAAACTAACAGTATTTAGTGAGATAAGTGCATATCTGCTTCTACATTCAGTTTGTTATTATATGTTATTTTGGCTAAAGTATCAAGAATATCCGTACTTAACTGAGAAAGCAATGGAAATACTCCTCCTGTATGTAGTTAGGAAAAGGAGGAGGATTTCAATTGCCTTCTCAGATACTCATAGATACTCCTGATACTGACAAGTAGTAGTTTCTTGAGTTTTCATGCTATTACATTAAAATCTATTGGTTTGTCTTAACTTTACATATCTCTCATCCATGCATGGTTTTATAACATTGTTCATTGGTCATGTGAAAATATTAGTTAGCTCAGTGATATAGATCTTCCAATAATTAATTTTTTTCACACTTTAAAACACTGTGGTTAAATATAAATTTGCCTTTTTAACCATTTTTAAGTGTACAATTTATTAGCATTATTTACATTCACACTGTTGTATAACCCTCACCTATATTTCCAAAACTTTTATCATCCCAAACAGAAACTGTAACCATTAAGCAACAACTACTTATTCTCTTTTTTCTCTAGCTACTGGTAACCTCTAATCTGTTTTTCCTCCAGCTACTGGTAACCTCTAACCTATTTTTTGTATTTGTGATTTTGCCCATTCTAAATATCTCATATAGGTGGAATTATACAATATTTTTCCTTCTGTGTCTGGCTTCTTTCACTTAGCAAAATGTTTTCTAGGTTCATCCATGTAAAAGCATATATCATAACTTCATTCCTTTTTATGGCTAAGTAATATTCCATTGTATGTTTACACCACATTTTATTGATGGTATTTGGGTTATTTCCTCCTTTTGGCTAACTGAATAATTGGTGTAATGAACATTGGCATACAAGTATCTAAGTTCCTATTTTCAATTTTGGAGGCATAGACCTGAAGCAGAATTGTTACTATTGTCACATAATAATCCTATGTTTAGCCTTTAGAGGAACCATCAAACTGTTTTCCACATGGTTACACCATTTTATATTCCCACCAGGAAAGCATGACGGTTCCAATTTTTCCACATCCTTTGCTAACACTTGTTATTTTCTGTTTGTGTGTGCGTCTTTTTAAAGTCATCCTAGCAAGTGTGAAGTGGTATCTCATTGTGGTTTCAGTTTGAATTTTTCTAGTGACTAATGATGTTGAGCATTTTTTCCATGTCCTGAGCATTTTTTCTATGTCCTTATTGGCCATTTGTATATCTTCTTTGGAGAAATGTCTATTCAGATCCTTTGCCCATTTTAAACTGGGTTATTTGTCTTTTTGTTGTTAAGTTGTAGGAGTTTTTTAATATATTCTGGATATTAAACCCTTAATCAGATACATAATTTGAAAATGTTTCCTCCCATTTTGTAGGTTGTCTTTTTCACTTTCTTGATAATATCCTTTGATGCACAAAAGTTTTAAATTTGGATGAAGCCCAATTTACTTATTTTTTCTTTTGTTACTCAGCTTTTGTTCACATAGAATCCATTGCCAAATCCAAGGACATATTTACTCCTACATTTTCTTCTAAGAGTTTTATGGTTCTAGCTCTTAAGGTCAGATATTTCATTTTACACTATCAAAAAATAGCACTCATCAATTCTATGAATGATCTCATTAATGAAGTCTTTACAAATTGGGAAGCTCAGACTCACAGTGGGGATAGAAGATGTCCAGAACTCTAATTTTCACTTGAAATCTCAAATTTTATCATTGGCAACAAATACCATCAGTTGTTTTCCTTGAATGAGCAGATTCTCTTAATTTATTTTTAAGAATAAATTAAGGTCTGCCAAATACCCAAGTCTGGATAGGCATAGTGTATCTGTCAGTCATTCTTTCAAATAAAAATCTTGTTTTCTTGGGGGAAAGAATGGCTAGTTTATCTTGTAACTCACACAACTGTATGGGTGCTCCTCCTGGTCATACCCATTATATTTATGCAGAAGTGCTTTATGTGTACCTGCTATTTCATCACACAGAATATTAAAAAGACATCTATTCAAGAATAGAAATTTCATAAAATTAATAATTACTTCTTCGTCAAGGACTATTAATTTTTATTTTGTTTTATCTTTTTTTGAGACAAGGTCTCACTCTGTCACCCAGGCTGGAGTGCAGTGGTACAAACAAGGCTCACTGCAACCTCAATATCCCAGGCTCATGTGATCCTCTCACCTCAGCCTCCTGGGTATCTGGGACTACAGGCGCTAATTTTTTTGTATTTTTTAGTAGAGACAAGGTTTTTCCATGTTGCCCAGGCTCTGTTTGTTTGTTTGTTTGAGACGGAGTCTCGCACTATCGTCCAGGCTGGAGTGCAGTGGCGCGATCTCGGCTCACTGCACCGCCTCCCAGGTTCAAGCGATTCTCCTGCCTCAGCCTCCCGAGTAGCTGGGATTACAGGCGCCCGCCATCATGCCTGGCTACTTTTTTGTATTTTTAGTAGAGATGGGGTTTCACTATGTTGGCCAGGTTGGTCTTGAATGCTTGACTTCGTGATCCACCCGCCTCGGCCTCCCAAAATGCTGGGATTACGTGCATGAGCCACCGCATCCAGCCTTGCCCAGGCTCTTTTTAAATTTTGTATATTTAGAGAGAGGTCTCACTCTGTCACCCAGGCTGGAGTGCATGGTGTAATCATAATTCACTGTAACCTCAAACTTCTGGCACAAGCAATCTTCTCACCTCGGTCCCCCAAGTAGCTAGGACTGACTACAGGTATGCACCACCATGCCCAGCTAATTTTAAAGTTTTTTGTAGAGACTGGGTCTTACTATGTTGCCCAAGCTAGTTTTAAACTCCTGGCCTCAAGCCATTGTCCTGCTTCAGCCTTCCAGAGTGCTGGGATTATAGGCATGAGTCACCTCACCTGGCCCTAAGACTGTTCTGGTTGTTAATTAAGAGATGGGGTCTTATTCTATCACCAGCAGGAGTAGAGTGGCACCTTTTTAGCTCACTGCAGCCTTGAACTCCTGGGCTCAAACAGTCCTCCTACTTCAGGCCCCCAAGCAGCTAGTACTACAGGCGCATGCCACCACACCTAGCTAACTTAAAATTTTTTTTTGTAGAGACAGGATCTCACTATATTGCCTGGGCTGGTCTTGAACTCCTGACCTCAAGCAATCTTCCCACTTTGGCCTCCCAAAGTGCTGGTATTATAGGTGTGAGCCACCATGCCCAGCCCCTAGGACTATTCCTAAGTGAAACTTTTTCCCCCTCCAAATACATGGTAGTGAGTGACATGACAAAGTCATGCAAAGTATATTACTGTTAGTACAGTTTGTTGTCATTGCCTTGATTCGTGGGGTAAGGCACCATCAATTTTACCCAGTAGTAGTTTTGCAAATGGCAATGCAGTGAAGAAAGTACATAGTATCTTAATATTATCATGAAAACAGTTTTGATATCAGAGACCACCAAAAGGGTCTTGGGGTCCCCCCTGGGGTACAGTTACTTTAACAGCTGCTATTTAAAATACATACACCTACTATAGGCCAGGCACGGTGGCTTACAGCTAATCTCAGCACTTTCAGAGGCTGAGACAGGAGGATCACTTGAGGCTGAGAGTTCAAGACCAGCCTGGGCAACATAGTGAAACCCTATCTCTAAGAAAAAAAAAAAACACCATATATATATATATATATATATACACACACACACACACACACACACACACACACACACACACACATACACACACATAAACGCACACTATATACCCACAACATTAAAAATATTTTAAAAACTGCTATTTAAGGGTGTGACTTGATTATATATTTGAATACAAAAAGTCAAAATTGAAACAAACTTTTTTTTTTTAGATGGAGTCTTGCTATATTGACCAGGCTGGTCTTGAACTCCCAGGCTCAAACAATCCTCCCACCTCAGCCTCCCAAGTAGCTGGGACTACAGGTGTGCACCACTGCACCCAACAAGTTAATGTCATAGTTCTTTCCATTGGATTTGAATGAAATTTTCTCTGTGCACAGGCTGTGTTTACATTAAAATGATTTTTTTCTTTTTTTCTTTTTCTTTATGAGACAGGGTCTTTACTCTGTTTCCCATGCTTGAGTGCAGTGGCGCAGTCACAGTTCTCTGCAGTCTCAACCTCCGGGACTCAAGCAATCCTCCCGCCTCAGCCTCTTGAGTAGCTGGGAATAGTGGTACATGCCACCACACACGTGGCTAATTTATATTTTTTTTAATTGAAACGATGTCCCACTATGTTGCCCAAGCTGGTCTCAAACTCCTGGGCTCAAGCAGTCCTCCCACCTTGGCCTCCCAAAGTGTTGGGATTACAGGCACGTGCCACTGCACCTGCCATACTTTAAACATTTTTAATACATCCTAGGCAAGAATTTTATAGTAATTTATGTCTAGGAATAAAAAGGAAATCTATGTATTACTCATACATTGGATGTCATACAATTTCTTTACTACTAAACAGAGAAACCATCAAGACTACAGTAGCACCACCTAGCAGCAGATGTCTGTGGTGGGATCCAGCAGAAGACAAATAGTTTCTTACCCAGTCTACTTTTTCTGGTGTTGGGCTTCAGAATCACCTAGGAAGGGCCAAGCGTGGTGGCTCACGCCTGTAATCCCAACACTTTGGTAGGCTGAGGCAGGCAGATCACCTGAGGTCAGGAGTTCAAGACCAGCCTGGCCAACATGGTGAAACCCCCTCTCTACTAAAAAAATTAGCCAGGCATGGTGGTGTGTACCTATAATCCCAGCTACTCGGGAGGTTGAGGCAGGAGAATTGCTTGAACCTAGGAGGCGGAGGTTGCAGTGAGCCAAGATGGCGCCATTGTACTCCAGCCTGGGCAACAAGAGTGAAACTCTGTCTCAAAACACACACACACACACACACACACACACACACACACACACACGAATCACCTAGGAAGCTTTTTAAGAGCATAATACTTAAGCTTCATCACCCTACCACGACCACCACCACTACCAAAGATTCTGTTTTAGGAAGTCCAGCAATCTGGTTTTTGTTCTATTGTTAACAAAGCTCTTCAGTCATTGTCATGTGCAAACCAGCTTTGAGAACCTCAGACCTTTTAAAGGTAAGGTGAGAAAGTCTTGAATTTGAAGAAATTGTATCTGCAATCTGCTTCTAGGGTCTCGTTATAGAGAAAAGTGTTTTTAAAATTGTCAGGAAGGAAAATTTAATATTTAACCCTTTCTCCCTCCCAGAATTTGAACCTCCCGCTCCCTTTGTCACTCGCTTTTTGAACACAAGAGCAATGAAGGAAACCTTTAAGAGCTACATGGAATTGCTTGTTAGCATTGCCTTGGACCCTGACACAATGCAAGCCTTAGAGAAGAGCAATGGTACAGTCTTCTAAGTAGTACTTCCTTGGTAGTACTTCCTGGAATTAAAAAAAGAAATCTTGTCTGTTAGTTATATGTTTATATGTGACTTGTGTAATATATACCTATAAATTGTCAGTTAAATATATAGCATCTTAATTCCATAAAATGGTCATATCTTTTCATGCATTCTCTGAATATTTGAACTTTTATTGCTTTCTACTCATGGGAAAATTGTATAGCTTCTAACCAGTTTCTTCCAATTCTAGAATCTAATCATCCTCATAAATAGTTTACTAAGTGTTAGTATTACATGAAAGGTCTGTATGTCAGTATATTTTATTTTCCAATAATTGGAAAGATGAACCAGATAAAAGTGGCATAAAGATTAAAATCATATACTTGTATCTTTTGTAAAAGATACATCATAGCAATTATTTTCTAATCAGTTAAAATTAGTATTAAACCAGTAAATGCACTGGGTTATACCAATTAATATTATTCCTTTTAGTTATTTGAGAAATCTCCATACTGTTTTCCATAGCAGTTGCACTAATTTACATTCTCACCAGCAGTCCCAGTACTGAGTATCTACATAAAGGAAAATAAATAATACCCAAGAGACACCTGCACATGTGTTTATTGCAGCACAGTTCACAACTGTAAAGATATGGAAAGTGCCCATCAGCCGATGAGTGAATAAAGAAAATATAGTGAATACTATTCAGCCATAAAAAAGAGCAAAATAATGTCTTTTGCAGCAACTTGGGTGGAACTGGAGGTCATTATTCTAACTGAAGTAACTCAGGAATGGAGAACCAAATATCACATGTTCTCACTTATAAGTGGGAGCTAAGCTATAGGTACACAAAGGCAGCGTGGTATAATGGACATTGGAGACTCAGAAGGGGAGAGGGTGAGAAAGGGGTAAGGGATGAAAAACTACTTATGGGGTACAATGTACACTACTTGGGTGATGGATGCACTAAAATCCCAGACTTCACCACTATACAGCTCATCCATGTAACCCAAACCACCTGTACCCCTAAAGCTATTGAAATTTTTAAAAAGTTTTTTTTAAAGAAGAAAATAAAAGGTACAGTAAGAATATGGCATTATAGTCTTATGGAACCACCATTGTATATGTGGTCTGTCATTGTCAAAAATGTCATTATGCAGTGCATGACTATATACTGTTTTATTATGTTCACATACTTAGACATATATTCTAATTTAACCTTAAAACAACTTAGACAGCCATTTTGTGGATTAAGACAGGTTCAGAGAGGTTAAGTGACTTGCTTAAGGGCCCACAAACTTGAAACTGGCAGAGAAAGGATTAAAATTAAAGTCTTCTAATTTCTGGTCTAGTGCTTTTCTTACCACCTAATCAGAGACAGTAACCTGTATATCAGTCATTTTCAAGTAATTAGGAGCTGGAAGGGACTTTAGATATTACCTAGTCTGAAACATTTATTTTGTAAACTAAAGTTCAAAAGAGATTAAAGTTAAAGAACAGGTTAGAGGTTGAAGAACCATGATTAAAACTCAGCTAATCCCAGGTCAGCATTTTTGCTATTAAATGTTATATTCCTTGCATCATAAAATATGCTTCTCTTTGTAGTAGTCATTTCTGTATAGTTGTATTTTGAAAGATTTTTAAAAATTGCTTATCAGTGTTTTCTGATTTTTCTCTAAGGGGAGAAAATTTTTTAAGATTATTTTTAAATCACAAATGTTTAAAACTTACTTTTGTAGAATGTAAATACAGTATTAGAACAGATTGAATCACTAATAGAAAGACTATGTAAACAATCATTTTACTTAGCTGTGAAACTTGTGACCTGGATTCTGGGTTGTTGTTTTTTTTCAGAAGGTTATTAGAGGCAGTTAGTATTATAAAATATAATAAAGTACTATGCTGGTAAATTAAGAAAGAATCTAATAATCTAAAATGTTTAATGCTACACCAAAACTAATTATATTCTAAAAGTACTTTTCTTAATGGAGCTTAAAGTTCAGAGTGGTGACACTGAAAGCCAAAAGCTTTGAATAGGAATCTTTGTCATAATTTTACTCTCCCCTCTTTTTCTAAAATAACTATTTTGATTCATATTTTTGGTACTGGGTTTTGATCATTTTTCTTCCCCTACTTTTTCTTTGCTTCAAGTTAAAGTGACTTAATATCCCTTGGTCATACTCAGTGTTTTGTTAGATCAGTTTGTATTTTGTAATTGTTCAGATTGTTCAGAGGGTAAATGAGGTCTGGAGGAATTAGGCAGCTTGCCTATTCGTCACATAGCTGCCACATATCAGTTCTATTCAGTTAAAATCCAGTTCTAGTTTATCCAGCAGTTGTAGTTCAGCTAAAACTTAGAACTTTGGATCCTCATGTAGTGCTCATCCCATCATCATACTGAGCTGCCTCTTTCTCACTTGCTACTATAAACCTACTTTTCAAGTTAACCTTTGTTCAGAAAGCTTCATGTCCAATTTTTTTGCAATCAGTATTTTACATATGCCAATGAATTTAGTGTATTTTAATATATAAATGTTTTGAGAAAAAGTTGGATTTTTTTCAAAAATATTTATTGATAGTTTATCCTGTTAAATTATAATGTTGTTTCAGATGAGCTACTTTTACCTCATATGAAAAAAATAGATGGCATGCTAAATGATAACCGAAAGAGACTTCTTTTGAATCTTCATTTGGATCAATCATTCAAGGTATTTCCTTCTGATGACTTATTAGCAAAACTCAATGGCAGTCATAGTCTTAAGTATAATAGGAAGGAAATTTATGAAAATTATTCACTTACAACATTTTTCACCTAATGAAAATTTGGCTTTTATTCATTGTAAGTCCATTTAGTTTGTCTGCTTAGTGTTAATCACTTGCTTTTCTCCACTTAAATTTATTTTTTAGGCATTTATAGTTATCTATTATATCTTCTATAAAATAATTTCCAAATGTTCTTTTAACGCTTTTCAAAATTTTTACATTTTGTCTGTAATTAAAATTAGCTTTTCCTTAGCACAGTTATCAAAATTCACCGTACTTGCCTCATTTATTCAATATCAGAGGAAACGCTGATTTTTATAAGGGTAGGAAATGTATATAATTCTATATGTTAATATATCTTGGCAATATAAGTTGGTTTTGGTGTTATCAGAAATATAGAAAAAGCTAATCTAAACTCAACTCAGATAATTTTTCATAGAAGCTAACTTGGTAGTTTAAAAATTTCTAGCTTTTTTTCTTTTCTTTTCTTTTTTTTTTTTTTTTGAGACAGAGTCTAGCTCTGTCATCCAGGCTACATTGCAGTGGCACAACCTTGGCTCGCTGCAACCTCTGCCTCCTGAGTTCAAGCAGTTCTTGTGCCTCAGCCTCCTGAGTAGCTGGGACTACAGGTGCCCACCACCACACCTGGCTAATTTTGGTATTTTTAGTAGAGACAGGATTTTACCATGTTGGCCAGTCTGGTCTCGAACTCCTGACCTCAGATGATCCGCCCACCTTGGCCTCCCAAAGTGTTGGGATTACAGGCGTGAGCCACTGCACCCGGCCGAGCTTTTTATTTCAGTTGGAGAAAAGGCATGCAAATTTATTAACGTGCACATGGGAGAGAATCACAGAATGATTACTCCGTAGCCTTTCTTATTCAAAGTATAATATCACATCAAGAATCATTTGGTTATATCTACCTTAGGGAACATTTTTTAATTGATGGTAACAATATTATACATTTGTATAACTTGTTCACATCCCTGTTTTATGTGAACTCCATGTAAAAGTGAGTATTGACTTCATTTCAATTAGGTGAAAACTGAGGCCATTAGATTGCATTCAAAATTAAATGACACAAAACTATCATAGTAGTCATGTATTCTTCACTGCCATGTATTCGCAGGAAGAAAAAAAATTTAGAAGCTAGTAAGAAATCCAGTACTAAGAATTTGGTCTCCTGACTCCTAGTCCAGTTTTTGTTTGTTCGTTTTTGTTTTTGAGATGGAGTCTTGTTCTTTCGCCGAGGCTGGAGTCTAGTGGTGTGATCTCAGCCCACTGCCATCTCCACCTCCTGAGTTCAAGAGATTCTCCTGCCTCAGCCTCCCAAGTAGCTGGGTCCACAAGCATGCACCACCACATCTGGCTAATTTTTGTGTTTTCAGTAGAGACAGGGTTTCACCATGTTGGTCAGGCTGGTCTCGAACTCCTGACTTCAAGTGATCCGCCTACTTCCGCCTCCCAAAGTGCTGGGATTAATAGGCATGAGCCACGGCACCCAGCCCTAGCCCAGTGTTTTCTGCTTAACTGCTGCCTTTAAATAAATGAAATATTCTCTTGTGAAATACTATATTTTGTGGAGACAAGGGAACATTTTTAGATAGGTGTTTTCTAAAGATTTACTAAATCTTAAAAATTACCAGGTTTGGCTAATCACTGTTGAAATGTCAAACCAGTTCTCTAACAAGATTTCTAATTCTGTTATTAGTTATTAATTTTGATAATTGTCATATAAAGCAATTTGCTTTTTTTTTTTTTTTTTTTTTTTTGAGACAGACTCTCGCTCTGTCTCCTAGGCTGAAGTGCAGTGGCGCGATCTCCGCCCACTGCAACCTCCTCCTCTCCTGCCTCAGTCTCTGGAGTGGCTGGGATGGCCTGGCTAATTTTTGTATTTTTAGTAGAGACAGGATTTCACCATGTTGGCCAGGCTGGTCTTGAACTCCTGACTTCAAGTGATCTGCCTGCCTCTGCCTCCCAAAGTGCTGGGATTACAGGTGTAATCCATGCCCAGCCTTAGCAATTTGCATTTCAAAGCAAAATTACATAATATTAAGAGTTAGACTGATCTGAAGTAAAATATTACAAATAGTAGAGAAAGAAAGATTTTTCTGTTCTTTAGAAATAATTAGTGTGCTTTCCTATGTTGATCTTGGTGATGTTAGGAGTCCTGAAGCTTTTTCAAGGTAATGATGTTCTGCCTTTTTCTGAAATCTGTGTACTTCAGATCATCTTAAGCATTTTGTGGTCATTGGAAAGATTTAAATTTTCTTCTTTCATCTCCACTGACTTAGTGTGTGTTGTTTCCAAATTTAGAATCTTTAGACTTTAAATTCTATTTGTTGCAAATAATAATTCTGGATCCAAAAATTGTCAAGGTGCATGTTTTAAATAGAAAACACCAGAGTACATGATAAGTGCACAAATAATCTGAGAAAGGAACGAAGCTCGAACGTGATGGTAGCTCACTGTGGTAGAAAATGCCAAAAGTGTTATTGTTTCTATCAAATGAAATTTAGTGCCCTTCTACACTTATACTAAGAAAAATTTAGGTTGCCTGTTTTTAAAAAGGTACCGTTTTCGGGACTGGCGCGGTGGCTCACGCCTGAAATCCCAGCACTTTGGGAGGCCGAGGTGGGCGGATCATGAGGTCAGGAGATCGAGACCATCCTGGCTAACACAGAGAAACCCCATCTCTACTAAAAATACAAAAAATTAGCCGGGCGTGGTGTCAGGCGCCTGTAGTCCCAGCTACTCGGGAGGCTGAGGCAGGAGAATGGCGTGAACCCAGGAGGCAGAGCTTGCAGTGAGCCGAGATCACGCCACTGCACTCTAGCCTGGATGACAGAGCAAGACTCCATCTCAAAAAAAAAAAAAAACAAAACAGTACTGTTTTCAGGGCCCCAATACCAGGTGCTTGGAAACAATAGATGAGTTTGGAGAAGAGTGGCTTTAAAGGTTGTAACTGTTTATAAAACACTTGCGCTTATCGAATTTGGACTGCATTCTGAATCATAAATATAATAGGAGGACTTCAACATTTTTAGTGTCAAAATAATAAATGATGGTAGGAGCTCGATTTAATTTTTATAAAGTCATAATCAAACTAGTTAAATGTTGCCACAAGTATCATTCAGTTATTGTTTGTAGCTTTTCAGTCAGGCAGAATGATTTGCCAAGTAGGTAAGGGCATAAATAGGCCAGTGGCTTATTTATTTATTTATTTATTTATTTATTTATTTATTTATTTATTTAGAGATAGAGTCTCTCTCTGTCACCCAGACTGGAGTGCAGTGGCATGATATTAGCTCAGTACAACCTCTGCCTCCCGAGTTCAAGCGATTCTCTTACCTCAGCCTCCTGAGTAGTTGGGATTACAGGTGTGCACCACCTCACCCAGCTAATTTTTGTATTTTTAGTAGAGACAAGGTTTTGCCATGTTGGTCAGGCTGGTCTCGAACTCCTGGCCTCAAGTAATTTGCCCACCTTGGCCTCCCAAAGTGCTGGGATTACAGGCATGAGCCACCATTCCTGGCCACCAGTGGCTTTTAAAGGATGGAGTGGAATTGGTTTTGCCACATAACCACTGTCAAAAAACCCATCATGCTCTGTTTTAGGATCTTATCTTACAAGTACTTGTCTTGCAGTCAAAATAAGCAAGAGAAGAGTGAAGCCAGAGAAGCACTACAGTGCCGCTTCTCCTCTGTCGTCATCTTCACCAGAGGCAGATGACTTCTTTATAGCAAGGCCCAGCCACATTTCACGGGGCAAGCAGTGGTTTAAGTGGTAGGGCTTTAGTGAAACATGTATGTCTTCCTTTCTCCTGCCTTGAAGCCAGAGACATTACTAGAAAGAACTCTTGGCCCTGTTAAGGGTTCCCAGTGTGGTGTGCTGTTGCTTAAATAAGCAGGTCATAGAGTTGGCTCAGATTTAAGGGATTTAAGGGAAATAGATTACATATCCAATAGGAAGGGCTGCAAAGAGCTTATGACCATGTTTAAACCCCAACCTGTGTATGTATATGTATGCATATCCCATCAGTACACACACACCTCTCTGCAAATAGGTGTTTGTGTGCACACACACCTCTCTGCAAATAGGTGTTTGTGTGCACACACACTTCTAAATTTTAGATAGCTAGAAGTAGTTTAGGTTAGTTTTCTTCTGGTGTCAGTTATTTTGCTTCATTGTTTTCCAGAATGCTTTGGAAAGTTTTCCTGAACTAACAATAATTACTCGAGATTCTAAAGCAAAGAGTGGAGGAACTGCTATTTCTAAAATCAAAATGAATGGCAAAGCCTATAATAAGAAAACTCTAAGGACTTCTAAAACAACCACCAAATCTGCACAAGTAAGTGTAATTGATTATTAATGTAACTATACCTTTTCCAATTGTTAATACAATTCCTACTTAAAACATTGAAACAAGCAAATATTTTACTATGTTGTCATTAAGTGTGAAGGTTTTTCAGGTAGGAATAAGCGTCACTGGCCTGAGGAACAGGGACGCATGGTGGTTTATTGTTTTTCTATAGCACAGTATCAGGCATATAATATGTGCTCACAAATTTCTTAAATTGACTAATATGGAAGAAATCATCTCGTGCTCATGTTTATATATTTGTAGGTAGTTTTTCATTTTTTAAATTGCATATATTATGTACAAAATGTTTTGAAATGTGTGTACATTGTGAAATGGCTAATTCAAACTCATTAACATATGCATTACTTGTAATATAGGTATATTTTTAATTGTATATGCATGCACATAGATAAGTAAGTGTGCAGAACACATTCCATAAAAAGATGAAATGTTTATTTCATATCTGCAAAGTCATTAAAATTGGAATTTGTTCATCTTCAAACATAGTATAAATTGTTATAACCTTTTCAGAAAACAGTTTGGCAACATATCAACTTCACAGCAAAAATGTATTCAGGGCTAAGCACAATGGCTCAAGCCTATAATCCCAGCACTTTGGGAGGCTGAGGCAGGAGGATCACTTGAGTCCAGGTGTTCGAGACCAGTCTTGGCAACAAAGCAAGGCCCCATGTCTACCCTGGGGGGAGAAAAAAAAATTAGCCAGGCATGGTGCCATGCACCTGTAGTCCTAGCTACTTGAGAAGCTGAGTGGGAGGATCGCTTGAGTCCAGGGAATTGAGACTGCAGTGAGCTGTGATTGCACCCCTGCACTCCAGCCTGGGTGACAGAATGAGACACTGTCTCAAAAAAAAAAAAAAAAGTATTCTGTAGAAATAGATTCAGAAATGCATAAAAATACATACCTTTGCTCATTGTGGAATTGTTTGTAAGAGCAATCCAATTATGTACCACCAGTGTGAGGTTAGATAAATGAAGAGCCACGTAATGTCATACTACGTGCTTTTTATAAAGAAGAGATAGATTTGTTCATTCTTTCAGAAAAATTTTTTTGAGTGCCTATAGTATGCCAAGTACAGTTCTAAGTACTAGAGATACAACAGTGAAAACTGGTTAAAAGTCCTTACCCTCATATAGTTTGTATTTGGGGAGGATGGGGAGGGACAGCTATATGTACTAAATGAAAAGATAGCCAATTATTAGTTAGGTCAAAAAACACGTTGGAAGAAAGAAGAAAAGTTGCTAGACAATATGTATAGTGTGATTCCCTTCTCATTACAAAATTAGTGTTATTAACATACATGTTATACCTGGGGGAAAACATTAAAAAATATATAACATGCCATTAGCTTTGTTTAGCTCTGAAGCAGGAGATTATAGGGAGCTTTTATTTTATAAATCATCTCATATGTTTATTGTTTAAATTTTCCTATAATGCTTAAGTTTTTTCAATAATGCATATTTATATGCAGGATAAAGAATAAGATTTTAAAATATAATTTAAATTCTTATTTTGAATAAGTCTCTCCATATTAACCCAACTGAATACCTACCCATATATGTCATTTTCAACATTGCCATTGAGACTTTTGATCTAGTATTTTCCTCAAAGTGTTCTTAGCTCAGATACTCCATGAAATGTATCTATAAACTTTTTTCTTTTTATAGGAGTTTGCTGTCGATCCAGAGAAAATACAGTTGTATTCTTTGTATCATTCACTCCATCATTATAAGTACCATGTTTATCTGATATGTAAGGATGAGGTAATTTCTTCTCATTTACTTAAAAAAAATGTTTTTCAGAATGTTAAGGAGACTCTAGCCATAGTATTTTGGAGTGTTTTAAAGAGAGTTGTGAAATACATGTGTGTATGTATTTTGTCTATGTATTCTGTAAATAATGACTTGATTTATTGTTCTGAGTCTCTCTGCTATGTTTTGTGCTCAGATTTACCCGAGCCTCACCACCTCTTGTAGGAGCTATAATTGGTAATGTTTTGAAGCTGTTGGTGCTTGCTTTACATCGCCATAATAAATGATGTTTTATTGCATTTTGTTCTCTCACAGTGTATGATGATCTTGCTTTAATTCACTTCAGTCACTGCTTTGACATCTCACTGCCTTACTTATTACTTAGAATGGCCTTATCCCACTTAATTGCAGAGAAGTGGGGTTTTGTGCCTTGGCATGAAAAACTGAAAGTTAAAATTTAATTGTAGCTTTTAAGTTGTTCAGAGATTATACATGACAAAATATCACCTCATGGATGGGATATAAGCATTAATTTCCACAGCCATGCTAAATGGTTGTAGACAATACTACCTTATTTGACCAGCACTATCACTTCTTTTCATTATAAAGGGTCCAAGGCTATATCTAATGTGTTTGACAGTAGTCTGGTATGGAAAGATGCTCATAAATCTAACCTTTATATAGCAAAAGAGAAAGCAAAGATGGTGATGCAACATAGGTTCACTGTTTTTACAATGCTCTAAAATGCAGAATCGACTCCAAAATTTGTCATTTGACTTTTAACGTAATTGGAAGAAATGGAGAAAGTCTGAAGTACTTTTTCTAGCCTTCCTTTCTGCCACCTTGGAGCCAAAGATGAGAGGATGAGATCTCACCCAAATTTAGCTGAAATAATCATTCTCCATGGATAGGATTAAGAAAAAAATAAAATACCAGTACTTGTAGTTGAACTTAAATATGATGTGATAAGTATAAGCTAATTTGGCGATTTTCTTTTTTTAGATTTCTTCGGTGCAGAAAAAAAATGAAGATTTAGGACAGGAGGAAATTGTTCAACTTTGTATGAAAAATGTAAAATGGGTGGAGGACCTCTTTGAAAAATTTGGAGAACTTCTAAATCATGTACAGCAGAAATGTTCCTGACTTTTCCACAAAAATCCCATCTTTTTATAGCACTAATGAAATGGCAGATATGGGGTGGTCAAAGATAATCAGATGTCAAGTAGTGGCCTTCTGCAGGCCGGCCGCTTCCATCATGGAACTGTCATTACCACCTCTGCTGAAGGACAGTGGTGCGGCCTTTAGGAACGAAGTTAGTCCTCTGGAAATGGACCTAAATCCCACCACATTTTTACCCTAATGAATGATTTTTCTATTTTGTAAACCATTGGGTAACTTGAGTCATATTTTCAGAAACATTTTTTGACAAATGATGAAGCATGCACTAAGTATAATTTTTTTTTATTGCTAGAGAAGTAACACTTAAAGTAACGATTTTTTTTTTCTGACTCCGGCTAAACACCAGAATGACAGAGAAGTGGCAGAAACCATATGTTTGTACTCACATCTGGCCACAAAACCAGAAATACTGTACATTATGTAAAGAGGTCTGGTGTGGTGTGACATCCTGTATAAGAATATCATCAATTTAAAATATAAAATTTGGAAACTATTCTGCTTTACAGACTCCTTTTACTCTTAACATGTTCAGGAAACTGGATGTGGAATTGGTGCAATTCTCTGACTGCTTTTTGTGTCAAATTATATTGTGATAAAAAAACAATGACATACTATTTTCCCTATCGCAAAGAAAAGTATTTTCGTTTATACTGTTTTTTCCTTTGGAAAATTTTCAATTGTACATTTTATTTCACTGATAGTTGTATTTTTCACAAGGAAAATGTTGTGGTTATAATTACGTTTGATATATCTCTACAACACCTTTTGTTATTTTCAGTAAATCTTAGTTATATGTTGAATTTCTAATGTGAATTCTATCTTGAGGTAACCATTTTTTTCATACAGATTTGCTTCAGTGTTATCCAGAATATGCATTCAGTACTAGAATTAGTTTAGCTTTATAAATAGGGCTGTGTTAGACACTGCAGTAATTTTCTAATTCATAAAATAAACTTCTTACTAAACTAGCACTTGATTAACTTGTTGAGGTAAAAATCTAACTACATTTACATTTTGAAGAATAAAACTGATAATTAGACTATTTGCAGTGTTAAACACAGCTTCCTTAACTCTTAGAACTGGAAGTTGTAGAGCTCTCCTTTTGGTGCCTTTCCAGCCTTTATACACACTATTGTAGCTTTCTTAGGTTTGATAGGTAGCGTTTCAAGTAGTTTAGCTGAGACAGTGAATGTATTAGGTTCAACATGACCTTGTGTTTTATTTGTGTTTGCCAACAGGATGCCTTATTTGTTTGAGAAAAAGATGTACTAGTGTCATTCTAAACTATCTCCTTTTTTAGGATTCTAAAGAAGTTAATCATCATCCTTTTGTTTATTTTACCACCATTTAGTGCCTTAAATCCTATCAAGAAAGCAGTGTTACTGCTCAATGCCCAAATAAGACACGCGGATATTGCTATTGTCTTGCTTTTGAGTTAACAGGCCAACTTTTTATACTTAAAACCTCAGTAAACTGGCAAAGAATTGAAGGTAATGTGATTTGATTTGAGAATAAAACATTGTAGCATTGGGTGAAAAATGAGTATTTGAGTTAAGCTTACATATTTATTTCTGATGGTTATCTTATTAAAAGCAATAATCCTTAATACTGTACTTGCCATTAGACTAGGTACTCAGTAATGGAAGTTTCTCTCAAGGGTTAAATGTTCCATTTTTGAAAGTTTTAAAAAACCTGTTTGGGTGGTTTATTTTGAAAACAAAAGTAACCTATTAGATTCATTTTGCCTAACTCATATGAGAGATGCAGAGTATCAACAGTGGGAGCATCATAAAATGAATTTTCCAAGTGGAGAGGAGTAGGAAGCAGCCATATGATAGTATTGACTCTGGACAGAATTGATGTCTTTCGTTTCCAAAGTGCAGAGTAGGGAACTACATTTCCTAATGTGGCATTGTAAATATACATCTTTATATTACTCTTCCAGCCTACGTTCCTAAATCATTGATAATTTAAATATTTTTTAAAGCCACCTTAATTTAGGTAGCTCTTGGAATCGATGTTTGAATTCACTAGCCACATTTTCTTCATGATATGCCTCGTGGCAAACAAAGATGTTTCCTTAAGATGAATCTTACATTTCCCATAGAAAATAACCCATTTCCTTTGGCACTGCAGTTGCCCTCAAACTGCTTGCAGTTGTATTCATTTTAGTACAACAAAGGTTTTCATAATATGGGAGGCCAAGTCTATGATACTGCCTCAAAGAGACCCTATTGTGTAGATGCATCATCTTCTCTCATTTGATCCATAGAGCATAGGCAAAGATGTCAACCTCAGGCCTTAGAGAAAAGTGGAAATGTTATTATGACAGCCGTCCATGAGTTATCGCTTTGTATGAAGTTAAATACAGTCATGCGTTGCTTAACAGCAGGGATACATTCTGAGAAATGCATTGTTAGGCAATTCCGTTGTGCGAACATCCTAGTGTACTTACACAAACCTAGGTGGCATAGCCCACAACGTACCCAGGCTATATGGTAAACCTGTACAGCATGTTACTGTACTGAATACTGTAGGCAGTTGTAACACAATGGTATTTGTGTATCTAGACATAGAAAACATACAGTAAGAATATGGTATTATAATCTTACGGGACCACTGTCAAATACGCGGTCTGTCTTTGAAAAGTTGTAATGCGGCGCATGACTATAAATACCTAGCTGGTTAGCATTTACATTCCTTGCCAGGGAGTTTGAAATTTATACTATAGAAATAACTTTAGGTTTTAGGTAGAGTTAAAGAGGTAAAGCACATGTTGCCACAACCCAGGAAAGTATTTTTAAGAAAGATTGGATTTTCCTACCTTTAGAGATCTAAAAAAAATTTAATATAAAAAATCATTTTGTGTTGGTGTTTATTACTAGTTCAGATGAGTGGCTGCTGAAGGGGCCCCCTTGTCATTTTCATTATAACCCAATTTCCACTTATTTGAACTCTTAAGTCATAAATGTATAATGACTTATGAATTAGCACAGTTAAGTTGACACTAGAAACTGCCCATTTCTGTATTACACTATCAAATAGGAAACATTGGAAAGATGGGGAAAAAAATCTTATTTTAAAATGGCTTAGAAAGTTTTCAGATTACTTTGAAAATTCTAAACTTCTTTCTGTTTCCAAAACTTGAAAATATGTAGATGGACTCATGCATTAAGACTGTTTTCAAAGCTTTCCTCACATTTTTAAAGTGTGATTTTCCTTTTAATATACATATTTATTTTCTTTAAAGCAGCTATATCCCAACCCATGACTTTGGAGATATACCTATAAAACCAATATAACAGCAGGGTTATTGAAGCAGCTTTCTCAAATGTTGCTTCAGATGTGCAAGTTGCAAATTTTATTGTATTTGTAGAATACAATTTTTGTTTTAAACTGTATTTCAATCTATTTCTCCAAGATGCTTTTCATATAGAGTGAAATATCCCAGGATAACTGCTTCTGTGTCAGTCGCATTTGACGCATAACTGCACAAATGAACAGTGTATACTCTTGGTTGTGCATTAACTTACATGTATAATTTTTGGCATCTGTGTTCACAAATGCATGTGTTAGCAAATCACCTTTATTTATAAGTGACAATAATTGAAGTTAAGGATATAAAGAAACCTGCATTTGTAGTCCAGCGTTTTCATTTGGTCCATAACACAATGTATGGAAATGTGAAAGACAATTTTGTACATTTGTTTGTTACTAACTCAGATCATTAAAATGAAAACAATTTTTTTAAACAAGAAAATCAGAATGTTTGGGGTTTTTTTGTTGTTGTTTCTTTTGTTTTTTTAAGAATTGAAAACAGGTATCATATAGGCAAAATCATCATCATGTTACAGATTCCTCACACAAACTAAACAGTTATTAGTTACAAATGGCATAGGGCCCACCCATTATTTTCTCAGATTATTTTAAGTTAGTATTTGATGAATATGCATCCTTAGCTAACAATGGCAGACCATATTTAAGAGTTTCTGTTTTAAGATATAACTCTTTTAGTCCTTTTCCACCTATAAAGAGTTATAAATCTGCCAGGTGGGTGCAGTGGCTTACACCTGTAATCTCAGCACTTTGGGAGGCCGAGGTGGGTGGATCATGAGGTCAGGAGATCAAGACTGTCCTGGCCAACATGGTGAAACCCCATCTTTACTAAAAATACAAAAATTAGCTGGGCGTGGTGGCGCGTGCCTGTAATCCCAGCTGCGCAGGAGGCTGAGGCAGGAGAATCGCTTGAACCAGGGAGTCAGAAGTTGCAGTGAGCCAAGATCGCGTCACTACACTCCTGCCTGGTGACAGAGCAAGACTCCATCAAAAAAAAAAGTATAAATCCATTAACTTATAAATCCATTAACTTACATCTTCCTAGTTTTGTTTATCTGAAAATAGTCCATAGCTAGAAGTAATTGATAATATCAAGCTATTTCTGTCATCTCTATACAACTATTGAGTAAGTTAAAAAAATAAAAACGTGTCCTGACTGGACTAGTGAGCTGATTTTCTGAGTAAGATTCTGCCTTAATCTTCATATAATATTTCTAGCATATTAAGTATTTCAAGTGAAGATACTGTCAAATGTGCTTGCTCTCTTGTAGTTTGGATTATAAAAGCACTGAATCTTCATGCCTTTATACAGCTAGAAAATAAATATTGTAATAAATGATCTGCATCAAATATTTATCATCTCAGTAAAGTCTGAAAAATTTTTTTTGGTTCTATGACATCTGTTTTATTCTCCATTGTTTGCTGAAATTTTAATATTTTCATTTTAGTATTTTCCTCAAAATATTTTAGAAAATAGTCATTATTCAAGTGATCTATATAAACCTGAATGACAGCACATACACTACACTGCTCTGTTAATGTTTTGTTACTGTCTTTGTTCTGTTTTGTTTTTGTGACAGAGCCTTGCTCTGTTGCCCAGGCTGGAGTGCAGTGGCCCGATCTCAGCTCACTGCAGCCTCAGCCTCCCAAATAGCTAGAATTTTAGGTACGAGCCACCACGCCTGGCTAATTTTTGTATTTTTGGTAGAGACAGGGTTTCGCCATGTTGCCCAGGCTGGTCTCAAACTTTGGGCTTCAAGTGATCTGCCCACCTCAGCCTCCCAAAGTGCTGGGATTACAGGCGTGAGTCATTGCGCCTGGCCTACTGTCTGGTTTTGTTTGTTTTACTATACTTTGTCTCAGACACACTCTATAAACTGAACCTGAACCTTCTCTAGGAAGAAGTGAAAGAGGTTACTTCTACTCTTTGGTTTTCCAAATAGAAATATTTTATTACTCGTAAAATAGTAAAGCTACTCTGGCTTGTTTTTTAAAAACTCAAAACAATAGGGAAAAGTGTAAAGAAAGAGATAAGCTACTCTCAGTGGAGGCTTTTTTTAAGGTGGTGTGGGGTCTCCCTCCATTGCCCAGGCTGGAGTTCAGTGGTGCGATCACTGCTCACTGCAGCTTCCACCTCCTGGGCTCAAGGGATCCTCCCACCTCAGACTCAAGTAGCTGGGACTACAGGCACGCACCACCACACCGTGCTAATTTTTGTAGTTTTTGTAGAGATGCGGTTTCACCATGTTGCCTAGGCTAGTCTGAAACTCCTGGACTCCAGTGATCCACCCACCTAGGCCTTCAAAGTGCTGGGATTACAGGCCTGAGCCACTGCACCTGGCCATACTAAGTCTTGATACTGGCCTAAAACATGCTTTCAGTTCAATATGGGATGGGTTACAAGATTTGGTACTATGGGTTGTTCCTTTTCTGTAGCATAGCTTTAAGTGAATTCCTAAATTTGGTATACCAATGTTTAAATTACAAAGCACATTCTAAAGTGAAATAAAAAAATGATATGGGTTATTGATCATTTTAGGTTATGTATATATCTCTTCTTTAGGTAGGATGAATAATTTAGAGCTGACTGGTTTCAAATAAAAGGAAGATACAATTACCAATTGGTCTGTTGTTAAACCTTATCTATTTTATGATGTTAATCAGGAGTCAAGATATTGCTTTACAGAAATAATGTGTCTTGCATATAATTTACCCGTGGGCAAAGTTTACTATTTTCACCTAAAGTATAGATTTTCTTTTAATTTTACTCCTTAAGGTATTTAGAATAAGACAACAACAAAATTTAAGACATAGATTAAAAAATAAAGGGCATAGTAGAAATGTTTTTCTAAAACCGCATCCAGGAATATCTTTCACCTGCCTGCCCTCCCCCATGGTGGCCCAGGCCTGAGGGCATCTAAATTCCCTGAAAGTATACGGTTTTTCCCTTGCCTCCAGTCCTTCCTGTTCCTCCTGTTGAATTAGTCTTCTTCACATCTCAGTCTTCAGATTTCACTTTAACTTCACTTCTACTGAACCAGATTAGGTTTTATTGTTTGTTTGTTCCCTTGTTTTGAGATAGGATCTCAGCTCTGTCACCCAGGCTGGAGTGTAGTGGCACCATCACAGCTCACTTCTGCCTTGAACTCCTGGGCTCAAGCAATCCTCCTGCCTTAGCTTCCTGAGTATCTGGGATTACAAGCACACACCACTGCACCCAGCTAATTTTAAAATTTTTTGTAGAGATGGAGTCTCTCTTTGTTGCCCAGGCTGGTCTCGAACTCCTGGCTTTAAGAGATCTTCCTGCCTTGGCCTCCCAAAGTGCTGGGATTATACATGTGAACCACTGTGCCCGGCCCAGATTAGGTTTTAATCCAATGGACCAGATTAAGTGCCCTCAGTTCCTCCAGCATAGCATTTATGATGCTTTGTTGTGGTTGTGTGATTGCTGGACTTTCTTTGCTGCTGGGTCCTATCATCTGATAATAGGACTTATGAGTTTTGCTCACCACTGCATCCCCATCATCTCATGCACTGTCTGGAACATAGTATATTCTCATTAAACATTTGGCAAATAACTGGACATATGAAAAAAAGTCACAGGGAATATTAAAAAGGTTAAGAACAGGAAAGTATTCGTTGGATTTTGTAATAAAGACACAACTTTAGGAGAATTGCAACTTCAGAAGAAAATGACTACATCAACAAAAATAGCTGACATTTTATCAAAGTGAAATGCAGTAGCCATCATTTTTTACATTTTGCCCTCACATGCAGAAAGAGCTCAGGGACCAGGACATACATTCCTCTATCTGGGGCTTGAGATTCTCCAATAGAATAATTGGGGAAGAAAGTACTGTCAAAAAAAATTTTTTAGCCTGAGGTGGTGTCACACTCAGGAGGCTGAGGCGGGAGGATTGCTTGAGCCCGAGTTCAAGGTTGCAGTGAGCTATGATTCACCACTGCTCTCAAGCTGGGCAACCCTGTCTTAAAAAAATAAAGTTTCTGTGAGATGGACTCATGAACAAAACACTCTGGTAGGGGGAGTTTATCTATTTGAGGAGGGTAAGGGAAGATTTCATGGAAACAATGATTAGCTGAACCTCAGCGGTTAGGAAGACAACAGAGCTGGCTGACAAAGAAGGCATAATGCTTTGTTTTCAGGAGGATGGTTTCTCCTCCAGTTTTGCCACGAAACTAGCTCGATCCTCAGGCATGCCATGTGAAACCTAATCTGAATCTGTTTTCTCATCCTGAAAGTGAAGTAAGAAACAGTCTTTTAAAGCTATTAATATTCTTTGATTCTAGATAGACCGGAATGTTGGGAGAAATGCAAAGCGTCTCAGTTAGCAGCACCAGAAGATCAGAGCAGCAGAATAGTAAGAATGGAAAGGTCTTACTACATTTTTCACTATCTTGCAAGATTCATTTCAAAACCATTAATCAGCTATTTTATACATACACACACACCTTAGCAATCTAGTTCATCTTGTGACACTAGTGTAAAATTAATTAGAGACGTCGTGTCGCCAGTCAATTTTGAAATGCTTAGAGTCTATGTACATAGTCTTCATCTTTATATCTCCAACAGCACAAAGTATTTCACTCCATAGGTACCTAATAGGTGTGTGTTGCATAGATGGGTGAATATATAAATGAGAGTTTACTTGGAATCAGTTTAAAGTGTTTTCAAACTGGCCTCTTAAAATAGGTCAAAATACCCTGTTGTCAGTGGTACATTCCCTGCTTTCCTTTTCTTCTTTTTTTTTTTTTTTCCAGAGGGAGTCTCGCTCTGTCACCAGGCTGGAGTGCAGTGGCGTGATCTCGGCTCACTGCAGTCTCCGCCTACCGGGTTCAAGCCATTCTCCTGCCTCAGCCTCCTGAGTAGCTAGGATTACAGGTGCCCGCCACCACCCCTGGCTAATTTTTGTATTTTTAGCAGAGACAGGGTTTCACCATGTTGGCCAGGATGGTCTCAATCTCCTGACCTCGTGATCTGCCCACCTTGGCCTCCCAAAGTGCTGGGATTACAGGCATGAGCCACTGCGCCCAGCCTCCCTTTCTGTTTTTAAGGGAAAGCACCTCTCTTACATTACCAATTATTTTCATATCACTCTTTAATTCTCCTCACTCTGCTTACTTCACAACATACCAGAGTCCATTCTCCTAATTTGTATTTTGAATTTCTATTTAATCCATGGAAGTGAATGGGCTATCATCAGAGAGCAGGTATCTTGGAGCAGTGAAGCAAGAGAATTCAAAACACTAGCAACAGGCTAACAGAAAGAACCTGGCTTTAGAATGAAGTTTTAAAATTAACCTTGTTTACTTAGAATTTATCAATGACTTAAGAACTGTTTATGGGTCACTCAGTAGAAGATCTTTATAATGTCAGTCCTCCATTGAGTTTGTTAGAAGATAATATTTGACTTAAGTAGAAGTCAGAAGTTAGGGTTTTTCATAGCTGACGCTAATGTGAATGCATTAACATTATTACAGGAGTTTGCAAACAATCCACTATCAAAAAGATTACATATTAAAGCATATTTTAAAGGCACTACAAAACAAAAACTTGCTTTAACTGTGCCCATACTGCTCATGAACAAATATTCTGCCATCCAAATGAGAAATACAAGAAGTCCACCAGCATGGTGGCTCATACCTGTAATCCCGACACTTTGGGAGGCCAAGGTGGACAGATTGCTTGAACCCAGGAGTTCAAGACCAGTCTGGTAACAAAGCAAGACCTTGTCTCTACTAAAAATTTTAAAAATTAGCCGGGTGTGGTGGTGCTACTTGGGAGGCTAAGGCAAGAGGATCACTTGAGTCCGAGACATTAGGGCTGCAGTGGGCTACGATCATGCCACTGCACTCCAGCCTGAATGAGCGAGACCCTGTCTCAAAAAAAAAAAAAAAAAAAAAAGAGATAAGAAAAAGAAAAGTCATCGCTGTGGCTGCTATAGCTGAGAGCCTCACTATTTTTGTCTCCTCAGGCTGCCATAACAAAATGCCATAGACTGGGTGGCTTAAACAACAGAAATTCATTTTCTCATAATTCTGGAGCCTAAAAATCCCAGATCAAGGCTGGCAGGGTCAGTTGCTGGCAGACAGCCCTCACATGGCAGAGAGATGGCAAGCCCTCTGGTGTACCTTCTTATAAGGGAACTAATCCCATAATTAGATCCCCATCCTCATGACCTCAATAAACTCTAATTACCTCTCAAAAGTATCTCTAAATACTATCACATTGGGGCTGGACAGGGTTGCTCACAGCTGTAATCCCAGCACTTTGCCAGGCTGAGGTGGGAGGATCACTTGAGGTCAGAAGTTTGAGACCGACCTGACCAACATAGTGAAACCACATCTCTACTAAAAATACAAAAATTAGCTGGGTGTGGTGGTGGGCGCCTGTAGTCCCAGCTACTTGAGAGGCTGAGGCAAGACAATCTCTTGAACCCAGGAGGCAGAGGTTGTAGTCAGCCGAGATGGCACCACTGCACACCAGCCTGGGCGACACAGCAAGACTCAGTCTCAAAATAAATAAATAAATACATACATACATACATACATACATACATACATACTATCACATTGGGGGTTAGGGCTTCAATATAAGAATTGCAGGAGTACACAAACATGAGGTCCATAACAACCACTGACTGAGGTGTCAGCTACAGCACAGAAAAGGTGAAAGCCTTGCAGATAGTCATCACTGATGGGCTTAAAATTCTCTCTCTAGTCTATCCAGAAGCAAGAACATCATTTATTTACACTCTTCTCTTCTGCTGTAGGATTTTCAGATGTTCACAGATTAACTTTTAGCACAGACTATAAAGACCAGTAGTAGAGACCTTTGCCATTGAGTCATATTCTTTGAACTTCACAAAGGGAATTGTATCCTGTCAGTTCCTAAATAAATCTTACCTTTCCCTATCTCTCTCCTCTGTCTTCTTTTTGGTCCAAACCACCATCATCTCATGCCAGGACTACTATAATAATCTCTGAACTGCTGCCTCCCCCTTCCCAACTGCTTTCCTTTAGTCCATTCTCCACAAAGCCGTCTGATTTTCAAACAACTCTGATCATGTGAGTCCCACTGGAAATCCATCAGTGCTACCTACTGTTGTTAGGATAAAGGCAAAAATGCTAATGGCAACTTCTACTTTGAGCCATCATGGACTAACAGGGCCAGATGTATCTTTCTGCTTTACTTAAAAGTGAGGACAAAAGAAGTGAAAATTGTTTTCAAACATTGAACAATGTGCAGCACAGGACAGTAATCTTGAGAGAAGGGAAACAAATCAGTAGTAAGAAAACAATTCTTAAAAGGACAAAGGACCTAAGTAAACATTTCTCTGAAGACATACAAATGACTAGCAGGTATACAGAAAAATGATCAGCATTGGTCGGGTGTGGTGGCTCATGCCTGTAATCCCAGCACTTTGGGAGGCTGAGGTAGGTGGATCACCTGAGGTCAGGAGTTCGAGATCAGCCTGACCAACATGGTGAAACCCCATCTCTACTAAAAATATAAAAATTGGCTGGGTGTGGTGGTGCATGCCTGTAATCGCAGCTACTTGGGAGGCTGAGGCAGGAACCCGGCAGGCAGAGGTTGCAGTGAGCTGAGATTGCACCACTGGACTCCAGCCTGGGTGATAGAGCGAGACTGCATCTTAAAACACACACACACACACACACACACACAAAGTTAGCTTTTATTTTTTATTTATTTTTTATTTTTTTGAGACGAAGTCTCTCTCTCTGTCCCCCAGGCTGGAGTGCAATGGCATGATCCTGGCTCACTGCAACCTCCACCTCCTAGGTTCAAGTGATTCTCCTGCCTCAGGCTCCTGAGTAGCTGGGATTACAGGCATCAGCCACCAAGTCTGGCTAAATTTTGTATTTTTAGTAGAGACAGCGATTCACCATGTTGGCCAGGCTGTCTCAAACTCCTGACCTCAAGTGATCCACCCACCTTAGCCTCCCAAAGTGCTGGGATTATAAGCATGAGCAACTGCACCCAGACATTAGCTTACTTTTTCTAAACACGAAGAGAAATATTAGTTCAATATCCTGTAAATCGGGGTCCCCAACCCCCAGGCCGTGAACCGATACCAGTCTGTGGCCTGTTAGCAACCAGGCCACACAGCACAAGGTGAGTGGCTGGCAAGCAAGTGAAACTTGGTCTCTATTTACAGCCACTCCCCATTGCTCACATTACTGCCTGAGCTCCACCTCCTGTCAGATCAGTCACGGCGTTAGATTCTCATAGGAGCAGAACCCTACTGTGAACCACGCGTGCAAGGGATCTAGAATCTTATGCTCCTTAGGAGAATCTAACTAATGCCTAATGATCTGAGGTGGAATAGTTTCATGCCAAAACCATCACCCCCACTCCTGGTCTGTGGAAAGATTTTCTTCCATGAAACTGGTCCCTGGTGCCAAAAAGGCTGGGGACTGCTGCCATAAATGACAGCAGGACCCCAGATGAATTTCTATTAAATCATCTGCTAAATACCAGAAGTAATGACCCTATCAATATTGCAGTCTGTTCAAAATGTAGCAAGACGAGCCACAGACAAAACCCCTCAGACACCAAGTTAAAGAAGGAAGGGCTTTATTCGGCCAGGAGCATCGGCAAAACTCACATCTCAAAAACCGAGCTTCCATAGTGAGCAATTCCTGTCCCTTTTAAGGGCTTACAGCTCTAAGGGGGTCCACATGAGAGGGTCGTGATCGATTGAGCAAGCAGTGGGTACATGACTGGGGGCTGCATGCACCGGTAATCAGACAGAACAGAACAGGACAGGGATTTTCACAATGATTTTCCATACAATGTCTGAAATCTATAGATAACACAAGTAGTTAGGTCAGGGGTTGATTTTTAACTACCAGGCCCAGGGCGTGGTGCTGCGCTATCTGCCTGTGGATTCCATTTCTACCTTTTAGTTTTTACTTCTTCTTTCTTTGGAGGAAGAAATTGGGCATAAGACAATATGAGGGGTGGTCTCCTCCCTTAAAAACACATTACAATGCTATAGTAATTAAAACAGTGTGGTGCTGACATAAAGACAAATGCACAGACCAATGGAACAGAATAGAATGCCCAGAAATAATCCTTCATGTATATGGTCAACTGAATTTTCTTCTGTTCTTTTGCACAAATAATTTTTGACAAGAGTGCCACAACCACACTATATGGAAAGGACAGTGTCTTCAACAAATGGTGCTGATAGAACAATATCCACCCATGAAAGTTGGAAGTTGGAACCTCACCTTACACTATATAAGATATTTTATCTCAAAATGGATTAAAGACCTAAATATAAGACCTAAAACTATAAAACTCTTAGAAGAAGAAAACATAGGAGGAAAGTTTCATGACATTGTACTTGGCAATGATTTCTTGGATATGACACCAAAGGCACAGGCAATGAAAGTGAAAATAGATACATGGGACTACATCAAACTCAAAAACTCCTGCATACCAAAGGAAAGAACAAAGTGCAAGGCAACTTACAGAATTAAAGAAAATAATTACAAATTACACATCTAATAAAAGGTTAATATCCAGAATACATAAAGAACTCCTACAACTCAAAAACAAAAAAAAAGTAGCCCATTTAAAAAACAAGCAAAGCACCTGAACACGTATTTCTCCAAAAAAGATATACAAATACAAACAAGCATATGAATTAATGCTCATCATCACCAACCATTAAAGAAATGCAATTCAAAATTACAACAAGGTATCACCTCACACCCATTAGGATGGCCATGGGAAGGGAAGGGATGGGAAGGGGAGGGGAGAGGAGGGGAGTGGAGGGGAGGGGAGTGGAGGGAAGGGAGTAGTGGCTGATGTCTGTAATTCCAGCATTTTGGGAGGCCGAGGCAGGAGGATCACTTGAGCCCAGGAATTTGAGACCAGCTTGGGAAACACAGTGAGACTCTATATATTTTTTAAAAATTGTATAAAGAAAAAAAAATAAGTGTTGGTGCATATGTGGAAAAACTGGAACACTTGTGCATTGCTGGTGGCAATGTAAAATGGTTCAGTCACCATGGAAAATCAGTAAGGATATTCCCCAACAAACTAAACATAGAATTACCTTATGATCCAGCAATCTCACTTCTGGATACATATCCAAAAGATATGAAAGCAGGGTCTAGAGATATTTGCATACCCATATTAATTACATTATTCACAATTACAAAAATGCCTAAATGCCCATTGACAGATGAACAGATAAAGAAAATATGGTATATCTATACAATGGAATATTATTCAGACTTAAAAATACAAGGAAATCCTGCCACATATTACAACCTGGATTAACCTTGAGGACATTATGCTAAGTGAAATAAGCCAGTAACATAAAGATAAATACTGTATGATTCCACTTATAGGAGGTATATAGAGTAGTCAAAATCATAGAAACAGAATTGTGGTTCCTAGAGGCTGGGAGAGGGGAAAAAAGGAGTTGTGGGATGGATACAGACTTTCAGTTTTGCAAAATAAAAAGTTTCTAGAGATCTGGTACACAAGAAAGTGAAAAATAGTTAACACCACTGAACCGTATACTTAAAATAGTTAAACAGCCAGCCTGGGCAACATAGGGAGACCCCCATCTCTACAAAAAGAAAAGAAAGAAGAAAAAATTAGCCCAGCATGTTGGTTCATGCCTGTGGTCTACGCTACTTGAGAGGCTGAGGAGGGAGAATTGCTTGGGCCCAGGAGATTGAGGCTGCAGTGAGCCATGATCATGTGGTTTCTCTCCAGCCTGGTGACAGAGTGAGCCCCTGTCTAAAATAAATAAATAAATAAATAAATAAATAAATAAATAAATAAATAAATAAAGATTAAGAGGGTAAAAGTCTATACTATGTGTTTTTTACCAAAATTAATGGCCATCAGTTATAAAAGGTCTTGAGTTTGATATATTGATAAATTAAATTCTTTGGAAATTTCCTCTAATTCTTTTACCTTGATTTTAAAAGTGAGGATACCCTCCCTATCCACAGTTGACTGAGCTAGAAATAATAGAAATCATTTTTGATACTTTCATTCTCTGACCACATCTAATCATCCACCTAGTTCTATACATTCACTGAGCACCATACACATCAATTAATAGGTGCAGAAGAAATACGCATAGAAGGAAGGAAGGAAGAAATCTGTTCAACTTTCCCTTCCCCACCTCCATCTAACTTCCCTTCAGTACAAACTAATAGTACTTTTTAGACCAAGTCCTTATCACCTGTCTCTTTCATGCTTCACTGGTCTCCTTGCCCTCAGATTCTTTTTTTTTTTTTTTTTAAGACAAGGTCTCACTCTGTCACCCAGGCTGGAGTGCAATGGCACGATCTCGGCTCACTGCAACCTCCACCTCCTGGGTTCAAGCGATTCTTCTGCCTCAGCCTGTAGCTGGGACTATAGGCACATGCCACGACGCCCAGCTAATTTTTGTATTTTTAGAAGAGACGGGGTTTCACCATATTGGCCAGGCTGGTCTCGAACTCCTGACCTTGTGATCTGCCTGCCTTGGCCTCCCAACATGCTGGGATTACAGGCGTGAGCCACCGCATCTGGCTTGCCCCCAGATTCGTAATCCTCCAATCTAATCTGCACACTGTCACCAGAATTTGTCTCCTTGATTACCAGACTGGTCATGATGTGGCCCACCTTATATTTCCTACCTAGTTTCCCATTAGATCTCCCATCTCTATAATTATAGACACAACTCTGAAGCTACACAAGTTTTTTTCTTTGTTTTTGCTGAGCACGCCATTTTAAGCATGCTTTCATGCTTTTATTGACCATATTTCTTCTGCCTACCAAGAAGTCTTCCTCCTCCCCTTCCTCTTCTATCCAGTAAACATCCTTTAACACTCAAGTTTAACATAGCTCCATAGAGAAGACTACTATTTTCCCTCAGACAGTCTGAGAAACTCCTCCTGTGATCCCAAATAATTCTGAGCATCCTGTTTTCTATCACTTCTCACATGGCCATGGAATTGTTTTTAGACATCTTAGCTGTTCCCACCATATGGAAATTGAAAACAGGTAATAGTGTCCTATTTCTCTTTTTATACCTCAATCCTAGCACACTGTTAAGTACATATTAGTTGCCTGATAATGTTTATTTACTTTTAACCTATCCATGTCTTTGAATCTAACCTGTATCTTTTGCAGACAGTATATTGTTGGATCATGCTTTTTTTTAAGCCATTCTGCCAATCTCTGTCTTTTGAGTAGAGTTTTTAATCCATTCATGTTTAATGTCATTATAATAAAGTAGGGTTTCTTTCTGACATTTTGCTATTTGTTTTCTAAAGGTTTATGTCTTTTTTCTTTTTCCATTTTCCATTATTGCCTTTTTTGTGCTAAATAGATTTTCTAGTGTACCATCTTAATTCCCTGAGCTTTATGTTCAGTTTTGAGACAAGGTGTCAATCTGTCACCCAGGCTGGAGTGCAGTGGCCCAATCAGCTCACTGCAGCCTCAAACTCTTGGGCTCAGATGATTCTGCCCCCTCAGCAGCCTCCCAAGTAGCTAGGACTACAGGCACATGTTAACATGTCCAGCCATTTTTTATTTCTATTTTTATTTTGTAGAGATAAGGTCTCACTCTGTTGCTCAGGCTGGTCACAAACTCCTGGTCTCAAGCAATCCTCCTGCCTTAGCCTCCCAAAGCATTGAAATAACAGGTGTGAGTCACTATGCCTGACTCCCTGGGACTTTTAACTATATATTTATTGAATTATTTTCTTAGTGGTTTATCTGTAAATCATCATTAACATCTTAACTTAAAACAGCCTAGTTCAGATTAATGACAATTTCATTTAAATAATATATAAAAACATTTCTCCAACATAGTTCCACTTTGTTCACTTCCCCCTCCTTTGTGCTATTGTTACATAAAATCTATTTTTATACATTGAAAGTCCATCAACGCAGATCAGCACAGTTTTAAAACTACTGATTATTGCCTTATGCAACAAGAGCAACACAGTTTTATAATTACTGACTATTGCTTTATACAATTGTTTTTGTTTTTAGAGATGCGATCTTGCTATGTTCCCCAGGCTGGTCTTAAACTCTGGGGCTCAAGCAATTCTCCCACCTCGGCATCCTGAGGAGTTAGGACTGTAGACACACACCACCAAAACCAGCTTAGTATTGAGTTTTTTTAAATGTGTTGATTCATATTTTTCATCAAATTGTGGTGAATTTTGTCTTTGTTTTGTGCTGCTATATTAAAATATCACAGACTGGGTAGCTTATAAACAACAGAAATTTATTTCTCGTAGTTCTAGAGGCTGGGAAGTCCAAGATCAAGGTACCTGTATCTGGTGACTGTTGAGAGCCTTCTTGCTGTGCCTTAGAATGAAAGAAGGTGGAGGGCAAGGTGATATGAACAATGTGCCTTTACATGGCAAAAGAATGAAAGAAAGTAAACCTATTCCCACAAACCCTTTTTACAGTGGCATTAATCCATTCATGAGGCCAGAGACCTCATGATCTAAATACCTCCCATTAAGCCCCCACTCCCAACACTGTTGCATTGGGAATTAAGTTTCCAACACATACATTTTGGGGAAAATATTCAGACCATGGCATTCTAGTCATTATTTCTTCAAATATTCTTTTAGCTCCTTTCTCTCTCTACTTTCTTTCTTGGCCACCCCATTATGGGCATCTTCATACACCTGATGATGTCCCACAGGTCTCTCAGGCTCTGCTCATTTTCTTCTTTCTTTTTCTTTCTATTCCTCATATTGGATAATTTCAATCAATCTATCTTCAAGTATGCTGATTTTTACTTCTTCCAGCTCAAATATGCTGTTGAGTCCCTCTCGTGAATTTTTCACTTGAGTTATTATGCTTTCAAACTCTTTTTTTTTTTTTTTTTTAAGAGAGTCTTGCTCTGTCGCCCAGGCTGGAGTACAGTGGCGCAATCTCGGCTTACTGCAGCCTCTGCCCCCTGGGTTCAAGTGATTCTCATGCCGCAGCCTCCTGAATGGCTGGGATTACAGGCATGCATCACCACGCCTGGCTAATTTTTGTATTTTCAGTAGAGACGGGGTTTTACCATGTTGGCCAGGCTGGTTTCAAATTCCTGACCTCAAGTGATCTGCCCACCTCAGCCTCCCAAAGTGCTGGGACTACAGGCATGAGCCACTGTGCCCGGCCCCAACTCTATTTTATAATTTCTGTTTCTTGATATCCTGTATTATGTAAGACATTGTTCTCATACATTCCTTTAATTCTTTAAACATCTTTTCTTCTAATTCCATGAATATATTTATAATGGGTGAATTGAAGTCTTTGGGCTTCCTCAGGGTCAGTTTCTACTGATAATTTTTATCCTGTACATTTGTTCTCCTTTCTTATTTCTTTGCATGTCTTAATTTTTGTTGATAATTAAATATTTTAAGCACTATAATGTGGTAAATCTGGATATATACCCACCTCAAGCCAGGTTTTGCTGTAGTTTGTGTTTGTTCTGGTTGCTGCTGTTATTTGTTTAGTAACTTTCCTGGTATAATTCTATAAAGTTTGTAGTATTTACCATGTGTGGCCACAGAAGTCTCTGCTCATTTAGCTTAGTGACCAGCCAATGATTGCACAGACATTTCCTTAAATGCTTTGAACCAATAAGTCTTCTGCCCTTTACCAAGGATCTCTATGTGTGTTTGGGCATGCTATCAATGCTTTGGCAATTTATAACTCTGCCTTCATCTTCACTTCCTTCTTCTGCAGCACCTACAAGTCAGCCAGAGGTGAGAGATTAGAACCTTCTCAGGTTTTTTTCTGGACATGTGTACAGTGTGCAAAATGCACATGGCCTCCAGAATATTCCAGTTTTTCCTGTTGTTGTTATTGTTGTTGTTGAGACAGGGTCTCACTCCTATTGCCCAGGCTAGAGTGTAGTAGGTGCAACTTAGCTCACTGCAGCCTTGATCTCCAGGGTTCAAGTGATTCTCCCATCTCAGCTTCCCGGGTAGCTGGGACTACAGGTGTGTACCACTACAGCTAATTTTTTGTATTTTTAGTACAGATGGGTTTTCGCCATGTTACTCGGGCTGTCTCGAATTCCTGGATTCAAGCGATCCTCCCACCCTGATCTCCCAAAGTGCTGTGATTACAGGCATGAGCCACAGAGGTGTTTTTTTTTATGTCCAACTTTTATTTTAAGTTCAGGGGTACAGGTACAGGATGTACAGGTTAGGTAAACGTGTGCCATGCTGGTTTGTGCACAGATCATCCCATCACCTAGGTATTAAGCCCAGCATCCATTAGCTATTCTTCCTGATGCTCTCCCTCCTTTCACCACCCACCCTCCAACAAGCCCCAGTGAGTGTTGTTTGCCCCCCATGTGTCCATGTGTCCTCATCATTCAGCTCCCACTTATAAGTGAAAACATGTGGTATTTGGTTTTGTGTTCCTGTGTTCATTTGCTGAGGATAAAGGCTTCCAGCTCCATCCATGTCACTTCAAAGGACGTGATCTTGTTCCTTTTTTTGGCTGCAAAGTATTCCGTGGTGTGTATGTACCACATTTTCTTTATTCAGTCTCATTGATAGGCATTTAGGTTGATTTCATGTCTTTGCTATTGTGAATAGTACTGCAATGAACATACATATCCATGTATCTTTATAATAGAATGATTTATAGTCCCCTAGGTATATACCCAGTAATGAATTGCTGGGTCAAATGCTATCTCTACCTGTAGGTCTTTGAGGAATCACCACACTGTCTTCCACAATGGTTGAACCAATTTACGCTTCCACCAACAGTGTAAAAGTGTTCCTTTTTCTCCACAACCTCACCAGCATCTGTTGTTTTTTTGACTTTCTAATAGTAGCCATTCTGACTGGTATGAGATGGTTTCTTATTATGGCTTTGATTAACATTTCCCTAATAAGTAGTGATGTTGAGCTTTTTTTCATGTTTGTTGGATGCATGTATGTCCTCTTTTGAAAAGTGTCTCTTCATGTCTTTTGCCCACTTTTTAATGCGGTTGTTTTTTCTTGTAAATTTGTTTAAGTTCCTTATAGATGCTGGATATTAGACCTTTGTCAGATGGATAGATTGCAAAAATTTTCTCCCATTCTGTAGGCTGTTTACTCTGTTGATGGTTTCTTTTGCTGTGCAGAAGCTCTTTAGTTTAATTAGATTTTGTCAATTTTTGCTTTTGTTGCAATTGCTTTTGGCATCTTCATCATGAAATCTTTGCCCATGCCATATCCTGAATGGCACATTGCCTAGGTTTTCTTCTAAGGTTTTTATAGTTTTTGATTTTACATTTAAGTCCTTAATCCATCTGGAGCTGATTTTTGTAATGTGTTGTAAGGAAGGGGTCAAGTTTCAGTTTTTTGCATATGGCTAGCCAGTTCTCCTAGCACCATTTATTAAGTAGGGAATCTTCTCCTCCTTGCTTGTTTTTGTCAGGTTTGTTGAAGATCAGGTGGTTGTAGGGGCACGGTCTTATTTCTGGGTTCTCTATTCTGTTCCATTGGTTTATGTATCTGTTCTTGTACCAGTACCATATTGTTTTGGCTACTGTAGCCCTGTAGTATAGTTTGAAGTTGGGTAATGCGATGCCTCCAGCTTTGTTCTTTTTGCTCAGGATTTCCTTGGCTATTTGGGCTCTTTTTTGGTTCCATACAAATTTTAAAATAGTTGTTTTCTTATTCTGTGAAGAATGTTAATGGTAGTTTAATGGGAATAGCATTGAATCTATAAATTGCTTTCAGCAGTATGGCTATATTCATGTTATTGATTCTTCTTATCCATGAGTGTGGAACGTTTTTCCACTTGTTTATGTCATCTCTGATTTATTTGAGCAGTGGTTTGTAGCTCTCCTTGAAGAGGTCCTTCACTTCTCTTGTTAGCTGTATTCCTAGGTATTTTTTTTCTTTTTGTGACAATTGTGAATGGGAGTTCATCTGTGATTTGGCTTTTGGCTTGCCTGTTGTTACTGTATAGGAATGCTAGCAATTTTGCACATTGATTTTGTATCCCAAGACTCTGCTTTACTTGCTTATCAGCTTAAGAAGATTTTGGGATGAGATGATGGGGTTTTCTAGACATAGGATCACATCATCTGCAAACAAATTAGTTTGACTTCCTCTCTTCCTACTTGAATATCCTTTACTTCTTTCTCTTGCCTGATTGCTCTGGCCAGAACTTCCAACACTATGTTGAAGGGAGTGGTGAGAGAGGGCATCCTTGTCTTGTACCAGTTTTCAAGGGGAATGCTTCCAGCTTTTGCCCATTCAGTATAATATTGGCTGTGGGTTTGTCATATATGGGTTTTACTATTTTGAGTCATGTTCCTTCAATACCAAGTTTATTGAGAGTTTTTAACAAGAAGGGATGTTGAATTTTATCAAAGGCCTTTTCTGCATTTATTAAGATAATCATGTGGTTTTTGTCTTTAGTTCTGCTTATGTGATGAATGACATTTATTGATTTGCGTATGTTAAACCAACCTTGCATCCTGGGGATGAAGCCCACTTGATCATGGTGGATAAGCTTTTTGATGTGCTGCTGGATTCAGTTTGCCAGTATTTTGCTGAGAATTTCTGCTTCAATGTTCATCAAGGATATTGGCCTGGAGTTTTCTTTTTTTGTTGCATCTCTGCCAGGTTTTGGGATCAGGATGATGCTGGTCCCATAGAATGAGTTAGGGAGGGGTCCCTCCTTTTCAATTTTTTGGAATAGTTTCAGTAGAAACAGTACCAGCTCTTCTTTATGCCTCTGGTAGAATTCAGCTGTGAATCCATCTGGTCCTGGGCTTTTTTGATTGGTAGATTATTTATTACTGCCTCAATTTCAGAACTCGTTATTGGTCTATTTGGTGATTCAATTTCTTTGTGGTTCAGTCTTGGGAGGGTGTATGTGTCTAGGAATTTAACCATTTCTTCTAGATTTCCTAGCTTATGTGCATAGAGGTGTTTATAGTGTTCTCTGATGGTTGTTTATATTTATGTGGGGTCAGTGATGATATTCCCCTTATCATTTCTGATTGTGTTTATTTGAATCTTCTTTTTTTTTGAGATGGAGTCTTGCTCTGTCACCAGACTGGAGTGCAGTGGCGCAGTGGCACGATCTTGGCTCACTGCAACCTCCGCCTCTCGGGTTCAAGCAATTCTCCTGCCTTAGCCTCCCGAGTAGCTGGGACTACAGGTGAGCACCACCACGCTGAGCTCATTTTTGTACTTTTAGTAGAGACGGGGTTTCACCATGTTGGCCAGAATGGTCTCGATCTCTTGACCTCGTGATCTGCCCACCTTGGCTTCCCAAAGTGCTGGGATTACAGGTGTGAGCCACTGCGCCTGGCCCTCTCTTTTCTTCTTTATTAGTCTAGCTAGCGGTCTATCTATTTTATTACTTTCTTCAGAAAAACAGCTCCTGGATTTTTTTATTATTCAAAGGGTTTTTCATGTCTCTATCTCCTTCAGCTCAGCTCTCATCTTCGTTATTTCTTGTCTTCTGCTAGCTCTGGGGTTTGTTTGCTCTTGGTCCTCTAGTTCTTTTAGTTGTGATGTTATGTTGTTCACTTGAGATCTTTCTAGCTTTTCAATGTGGGCATTTAGTGCTATATATTTTCCTCTTAACACTGCTTTAGCTGTGTCCCAGAGATTCTGGTACATTGTTTCTTTGTTCTCATTAGTTTCAAAGAACTTCTTAATTTCTGCCTTAATTTCATTATTTATCCAAAAGTCATTCAGGAGCAGGTTGTTCAATATCCATGTACTTGTGTGGTTTTGAGTGAATTTCTTAATCATGAGTTCTAATCTGATTGACCATTGGTCCTGAGAGATTGTTATGATTTCAGTTATTTTGCATTTGCTCAGGGTTGTTTTGCTTCCAATTATGTGATCAATTTTATAGTAAGTGCCGTGTACCAATAAGAAGAATGTATATTCTGTTGTTTTTGGGTGGGGAGTTCTGTGGATATTTATCAGGTCAACTTGATCCAGGTCCTGAATATCTCTGTTAATTTTCTGTCTTGATGATCTGTTTAATATAGTCAGGCAGCTTTGTTAAAGTCTCCCTCTATTATTGTGTATGAGTCTAATCTTTGAAGGTTTCTAAGAACTTGCTTTATGAATCTGGGTGCTCCTATATCAAGTGCATATATATTTAGGATAGTTACTCTTTTGTTGAACTGAACCCTTTTCCATTATGTAATGCCCTTCTGTCTTTTCTTTTTTGATCTTTGTTGGTTTAGAGTCTGTTTTGTCAGAAACTAGGATTGCAATCCGCTTTTTTCTGTTTTCCATTTTCCTCCATCCCTATATATGTCTTTGCATGTGAGATGGGTGTCGTGTCTTGAAGACAGCATACTGATGGGTCTTGGTTCTTTTTTTTTTTTTTTTTCTCTGTCGCCCATGCTGGAGTGCAATGGCACAATCTCGGCTCACTGCAAGCTCCGCCTCCTGGGTTCACGCCATTCTCCTGCCTCAGCCTCCCAAGTAGCTGGGACTACAGGTGCCTGCTACCACACCCAGATAATTTTTTTTGTATTTTTAGTAGAGACGGGGTTTCACCGTGTTAGCCAGGATGGTCTCGATCACCCGCCTCGGTGTCCCAAAGTGCTGGGATTACAGGGGTGAGCCACCGCACCCGGCCGGGTCTTGGTTCTTTATCTAGCTTGCCACTCTGTGTCCGGAGTCTCGCTCTGTCACCCAGGCTGGAGTGCAGTGGCATGATCTCAGCTCACTGCAACCTCTGCCTGCTGGGTTCAAGTGATTCCCCTGCTGCAGCCTCCTGAGTAGCTGGGACTATAGGTGCGCACCACCATGCCCAGCTAACCACTCTCTGTCTTTTGATTGGGGCATTTAGCCCATTTTCTCCCTTGCCTATGAAGCTTAGTTTGGCCAGATATGATATTCTGGGTTGGAAATTCTTTTCTTTAAGAATGTTGGATATTGGCCCCTAATCTCTTTTCACTGAGAGGTCTGCTGTTAGTTTGATAGGATTCCCTTTGTAGGTAACCTGGCCTTTCTCTCTGGCTGCCCTTAACAGTTTTTCTTTCATTTAGATCTTGGAGAATCTGATGATTATATGTCTTGAGGATGATCTTCTTGTGGAGTATCTTATCTTACTGGGGTTCTCTGCATTTCCTGGATTTGAATGTTGGTTTGTCTTGCTAGGTTGGGGAAGTTCTCCTGGATGATATCCTGAAGTATGTTTTCCAAATTGGTTCCATTCTTCCTGTCTCTTTCAAGTACCCCAATCCATCATAGATTCGATCTCTTTACATAATCCCATATTTCTTGGAGGTTTTGTTCATCCCTTTTCGTTCTTTTTTCTCTATTCTTGTCTGCCTGTCTTATTTCAGAAAGATAGTCTTCAAGCTCTCAGATTCTTTCCTCTGCTTGGTCTATTCTGCTATTAATACTTGTGATTGCACTGTGAAGTTCTTGTAGTGTTTTTTTCAGCTCTGTTGGGTCAGTTATGTTTCTCTTTAAACTGGCTATTTTGGCTGTCAGCTTCTGCATTGTTTTATCATGAGTCTTAGCTTCCTGGCATTGGGTTACAACATGCTCCTTCAGCTCAGTGAAGTTCATTTTTATCCACATTCTGAAGCCTCCTTTTGTCATTTCAGTCATCTCAGCCTCAGCCTAGTTCTTAGCCCTTGCTGGAGAGGTGTTGTGGTCATTTGGAGGAAAAGGGACACTCTGTCTTTTTGAATTTTCAGAGTATTTGCATTGATTCTTTCTAATCTTTGTGGACTTATCTACCTTCAATCTTTGAGGTTGCTGACCTTTGCGTGGGGTTTTTGTGGGTATTGTCATTGTTGTTGTTGTTTTCTCTTTTAACAGTCTGGCCACTCTTCCATAGGGCTGCTGTGGTTTGCTGGGGGTCTGCCCCAGACCTTAGTTGCCTCAGTTTTTCCTGTACCTGGAGACATCACCAGTGAAGACTGCGAAACAGCAAAGATGGCAGCCTACCCCTTCCTCTGGAAGCTTCGTCCCAGGGGGTACTGACCTGTTGCCAGCCTGAAGGCACCTATAGGAGGTGGCTGGAGACCCCAATTGGAGGTCTCACCCAGTTAGGAGAAATGGGATAAGGGGCCCTCTTAAAGAAGCAGTCTAGCTGCTTTTTGGTAGAGCAACTGTGCTGTGTTGCGGATCCCTTTGGTCCCCAATTGATTTGGGCCCATAGGCTGGACTGTCTGATAACCCTAAACAGCCAAGGTGGCAGCCTGCCCTGCTCCCCAGGGACTCTGTCCCAGGGAGAAATTAAGCTTGGTTGGCAGTAGAACATGGGCAGAGGTGGCTGGAGGCCCTCGCTGGGAGGACCTGCCCATAAGGAGGAGTGGATCAGGGTCCCACTTAAAGAAGCATTCTGGCCATACTTCAATAAGATAGCCTTGTTGTGCTGGGAACTGCCTCTGCTCCATCATCTTGGACTCTCCAAAGCCCGCAGGCTGGAATGGCTGAGTCGTCCAGGCAACTCAGGTGGTGGCCCTCTCCTCCCACAGGCATTCTGTCCCAGGGACAGATCAGATCTCTGTCCATAGAAAATGCATGGGGCTGGTTGGAGGGCCTTACTGGGAAGTCTCACCCAGTGAAGAGAAATGGACTGGAGTCCGGCTTAAAGAAGCAGTCTGGTCACAATCTGACAAAGCAGCTGTGCTGAGCTGAGCTTGTCCGGACTGTTTGGACTCTCCAAAGCCCGCAGGCTGGAATGGTTGAGTCAACCAAACAGCAGAGATGGTGGCTGCCCCTCCCGCTGAGGGCTCTATTCCATCTCCAGCAGGCTCTACCCTATTGCCAGTGGCTGGCTGCAATTCAAGTCAGTGGGTCTTATCTTGTAAGGTGTTGTGGAAGTGGGGCCCGCAGAACTACATTGCTTGGCTCCATGGATTCAGCTCCCTTCCTAGGGATATGTACAGGCCTCCCACCTTGCCAGGGATCCTGGGGCCAGAGTATATAAAACTCCTGGGTCTCTGCATGTGCCTGAGTGGCTGCTCTGCTGAGACGCCACACAGCTCTGTGTATCAGACCCAAGGCCCTGGTGGTGTGGGCTCACGAGGGGATCTCCTGATCCACAGGTTGCAAAGATCCGTGGGAGAAGCACGGTTTCCCAGGGCCACACAATCACTCACCACTTCCCTCAGCTAAGGGTGAGGGTTCCCTTGGCTTTGTGTCACTCCCAGGTGGGCCGTTGCCCCACCCTGCCTGAGTTGTTCCCCTGACCAGTCTCAATGAGAGTACCTGAATATTTCAGTTGAAGGTGCTGTATTTACTTGCCCCTTTCATTCCTCTCCATGAGTGCTGCGGACCGCAGCTGCTTCTAATACACCATCTTGGCCACCAGCCCCACAGAATTTTTCAAAGCCCCTATGGACATCTCACTTGCTAGATTTTCCTTTTAAGTTTTTTTTTAGCCAGCTTCTTGTTTGCCCCAACTGATATAACCATTTCAGGCCACGGCTGCTAGGCTGCTGCTTTTCACAGATACTGTGGTTTCAAGATTGCTGGGTTTCAAGACTACCATGGAGCTGGGGAGGGGGGAATTGACATAGGGCAAGTTAAACACTACAAATCTCACTGTCTGAGATTTCACCATTTTTCTTCAATAAGCACTCCTCAGATTGTTAAATGTCTTTGGTTTTTTCTAGAGTTCTGAAAAACTAGAGAATGTCTGCCAGTGATCTTATTGCTTTTATGGAGAAATAAGTTTTTGGAAGTCCTTACTCTGTCATTCTGAAAGTGCTTCCCAATAAATGTTTATTTAATTATGAGGAATTACACTACATGGAGGCTTCACTTACAGTCTCATAACACACACACACACACACACACACACACACACCAGAAAACAAGATTTACAAAGGAAGCAAAATTGCAGTTCCAATCCAAAATTGTCCAAGTCCTAATTTATAAGTTTCTTTTTAATATTTACTTAATTTACTTCTATTAGGCTGTCTTAATTATTTATGCCATTTATTAAAATCCCACCACTACAGATCGTTAGTTACAGACCTTAGCTAAAAACATAGGAAGAATGCCCAATTTCACACATCCAAATGACCCTTTATATTTCCAAAGGCCTTGTCAAATATTTTGGTCAATGACCCAAAGAAATGTAAACTAAAAGTAACAGGTATTTAAATACCACAAAAATGCTAATATGAATTACTTTGAAAAAATATATATATATTTATTTAAATGGTTAAGTGAATTTCAGTATATTTATGTGATAAAAGAATGCCTAGCCTATAAAAATGTTTTATTAAAAAGTTTGTAATATGTTCTAGCATTAAGCAAAAAATGTAAATGCAAAATTTTATATCCAGTATGACCTCAATTGCATAACACATCATTTAAAAGAATTTTTTAATGCCTTAAATGTTAATAATGCTTATTTCTAAATATTCTAAATAGTGAAATTTTTCTTTTTTCTTTTCTTTTTTTTTGAGATGGAATCTTGCTCTGTCACTAGGCTGGAGTGCAGTGGCACAATCACGGCTCACTGCAACCTCCGCCTCTCAGGTTCAAGTGATTCCCCTGCCTCAGCCTCTTCAGTAGCTGGGATCACAGGCACCCACCACCACACCCAGCTAATTTTTGTATTTTTAGTAGAGACAGGGTTTCACCATGTTGGCCAGTCTGATCTCGATCTCTTGACCTCATGATCTGCCTGCCTCGGCCTTCCAAAGTGCTGGCATTAGAGGCGTGAGCCACCGGGCCGGCTCTGAAATTTTTCATTATACATTTCTTTCATTTCAAATGTTCTACAATATGCAGTTATTTCTATATTAAGCAATAAAAAAGTAAACTCTTAAAATTTGCTTAAAACACAACTCCTTTCCTTTCCCAACTTTCAATCATAATGCTGGCTGACCACGGAGAGCTGGAGAAACAGTTATCTACCAAGTTACCATTTGTTAATGGCAGAGCCAGGACTAGAAACAATCCTCTTACCTACAAGTCCTCATACGTCTCTGGCTGGAGCGAGCAGGTTCTTCTGTCTGTGCCCATTGGTGTTTTCAGGTTGCTGGCTTCTTCAGCTTTGTCTGGATATATAAGGTAAAAGAAAACTTATCACCACGTCATTCTCGGGTCCCAAGGCCTGTCTTGGGTCTTGAGGCTGTGCCTCGGTCTGTCTTCTCTTCTCCATCCTTCAGAGTCCAGGTATGTTTGTTTTATAGATAGTAACTAGGGTTTTTAGTTGTACTTAGTAGAAGGAATGGGGAAATGTATTTCTATTACATCTTCCTAGAAGCAGAAGTCTGTACCTAATTTTGAATTTGTACTTTTATCAAAACTGCTACCACTGTCATTGTCATTGTTTTCATAGTCCTCTCTTGCCCCTCCCCCCCTTCCCCTCTTTTTTTTTCTCCCTTCCCTTCCTTATTTTTGTTTTTCTGTTTTTTAAAAGCCAGTCAAATTTAGCAGTGGGGGGCTATAAACCAATTTTAGTAACATTAATGTTAATAAATTCTGATAATCCACTCCCATCAGACCAACCTTTCTTCTTTTTTCAAAGATGGCCCACAAATTTGTAGTAAGTTTCAGGCTCCACAGAACCTGAATCCACCTCTGGTATCTGGCACATTATAAGACCTCAATAAATATGTTTTGAATGCATAAATGATTAGACTCCATATAAGGAACTCATGAAATTATAGTAATAGATGGTGAATCCTAGAAAAAAATGGTTCCCTTGAAACACTGAAAAATTACAAGGAACAAAAATCTAATTTGAAACACCTCACAAGCAGTGAAGATAACCAGGTATCTGCAGTATCTTGATATTTTGGGTAATGCCTTTAGGCTTTGGTGGAAAAAAAACACAAAAAAACAAAAAGAATTTCCAGGAAAAAAAAAAAACAGCTAAATGGTGATGCATTAAGGATGCTGCTTAAGGGTTCTGAGGTGTAGTTATTACCACTGCAAGATTTCACCTTTCCTCTAAACCCTCATGTAAGTCTCACTGATCATCTATTCCAGCAGCCCCCAATCTACCTGCATACTGAAATCACTTAGAGAGCTTATTCCTAAGTGCAGAAGAGATGGAAAACTTTTGAACACATGCCTACCAGGAATTATTGGAAGTATATACCTCAGGATTTTCAAGCACCAATTTATAACTGGCCCCTGCCAAACTACAAGTGAAAAGGCCAAATGAACTTAATAAACAAAGGGGAAAAAATCTGCATCAATAAAGAGGATGTCAACCAAATGCTCCACATTTTAAAATGTCTGCTAAACAGAGTATTGAATCACACCAGAGTGAAAAAAGACACCAGATCTGATGTTTAACTTCTCTTGCAAAGAAAGCAGGATATTTGTATGGGAAGTAAATATAGATTTGACAGAATCTAACTATCAACCCCTAACTTAAAGGAATAATGAGAGGCAGAAAGGATAGGTCACACGACTTTAGGGGGCAGTCCAACTGACACACCCTCTCCAAACTCAAAAGGCCTTTGAAAGTCACAGGAGTTGGAAGGCCTGAGTCTAAGCATGCCCACATCAAACACCAGCCAACAGGTGAAAGGGTGTTTCCTCACCCAGGAGGAAATTACAACAGGAAAGACAATGAAAACACCATATATATATGAGTGAAAGCTAGACCACATGAAAAGCTGGAAAGCTGATCCTGATACAGAGATTTTACCAAACATAAGAAAGAAACTCTGAGGACGTTAGACTGTAGACCTGGTCATGTAAATTTATGCCAATGTGCTCTCTGGCCAAAGATCTGAGAGAAGGTACTCAACAACACAACAATGTATAATGTGGGGACCCAAGGAGGATCTCTTTCTCCTATTTTTAAGCAAAATTAGACTTGTATAGACCTCTCCTCTTTCAAGAAAGAAAGAAAAAAAAAACTCAAAATGGAACTTGTGGGACAATTCTGCAATGTAAGAAATCCTGGTAGCAAAGGGAAAATCATCTGCTTTTCATTCCTTATTGCATCAAAGATTCACTGCATGCCTACTGTATGCCAGGCACTGTTCTAGGTGCTTGGGATACGTCATGAGTCTTGACCACATGGAGATTATATTGGGAGAGGGAGAGGACAGACAGTAAAAAATAGATATGATAATTTTTTTAAGTCAGTATATGTATTGAAAGGGATAAGAAACGTGGAAAAGAGAAGAAGACCAGGATACGGAGTATCTGGAGTGCTGAGGGGTAGCTGTGGGAGGTGGGATCATGGTTGCAATATTTACACAGGATTCTTAAGGAAGTCCTCATTGATAAGGTGACATTTGAACCAGGATTTGAAGAATATGAGTTAGCCATGGTTATTGGAAGAAAGAAAATTTAAGGCAGAGTGAACAGATGTCTGGAGGCCTTAAAGGTAGCAATGTGTGCCTGAGGTGTTAACAGATAAGGAAGCTAATGTGGCTGGAATGGAATGAGGGAAGGGTAGTTAGGCAGTCTTTGCTGGGTTTTGAACCAAAAAGAATAATAATCAGACTTAATTTTTTTTGTTTTGTTTTGCTTTTTTGAGACAAGTTCTCACTCTCTTGCCCAGGCTGGCAATGATGGCTGACTCCAGCCTCCACCTACAGGGCTCAAGTGACCCTCCTACCTCGGTCTCCCAGGCAGCCTGAACTACAGGCGTACACCAACATGCCCAGCTAATTTTTGTCTTTCTTGTAGAGATGGGGCTTCCCCATGTGGCCCAGGATGGTCTCCGTGACTTATGTTTTAAGGACTACTCTTGCTGCTTTGTTAGGAAACTAAAAAGGGTGGCATAACAAGGAAAAAAAGCAAGAAGACCAATTAGGAAGGTACTGCAGTAATCTGGGTAAGAGGTGACTGTTACTCAGGCCAGGGTGGTAGGAATACACGTTGTGGGACATGGTCAGATTCCTCATGAACTGGGTGGAGGGTATGAGAGAAAGAGAGGAGTCAAGAATAACTCCAAGTTTTTTTGCCTGAACTACTAGAGTGGAAGCTGCCTTTAACTGAGCTGGAGAAAGTTTCCCGTGGAGCAGACCTAGAAGGGAAAAATAAGTAGTTCAGTGTGGGACCATGTTAAGTTTGGGATGCCTACTGGCCATCCAAGTGGAGATGTAGTGGAGTTGGCAGTAGGATAATGAGGGTGAAGTTCAAAGAAAGGTTTAGAGTACAGATATAATTTTGGGAGTGTTCAAATATTTTGATTGATTGGTTGAGACTGGGTCTCATTGTGTCACCCAGGCTGGAGTGCAGTGGCACGATCATGGCTCATTGCAGCCTCTATCTCCTGGGCTCAGGCAATCCTCTCACCTCAGCCTCCCAAGTAGCTGGGACTACAGGTGTGTGCAACCATGCTCAGCAAACTTTTTATTTTTAGTAGAGATGGGTTTTGACATGTTCCCCAGGCTGGATGGCTAATTTTTTATTTTTTGTAGAGACAGGGTCATACTGTCGCTCAGGCTGATCGCAAACTTCCAGCCTCAAGTGATCCTCCTGCCTCAGACTCCAAAGTGTTGGGATTAGAGTCATGGGCCACCATATCCAGTCGGTTTTAAAAACCACAAGACTGAATAAGATCACTGAGGGAGTGAATAGAGGACAAAAGACTGAGCCCTGGGACACTTCAACATTAATAGGCAGGGAGAAGAGGAGATGTCAAAGGAAAGGAGACCAAGAAATAACAACCAGCAAGATAAAAGAAATCCTCAGAATCATGTTCTGGAAGCCAAGTACTCAGCTCTGAGTGTGTGGCTATGGCTCTCAACTATAGTTATTCTGTTTTTTGTTTGTTTGCATGTTTGTTTTTGAAATAGGGTCTTGCTCTTTGCCTAGGCTAGAGTACAATGGTGTGATCACGGCTCACTGTAGAACTATGGTTATTCTTGACTGGATATTGACTGTTGGACAATTTATTAACAGTAACTCAAATTCTTCTTCTTCTTCTATTTTTTTTTTGACACAGGATCTTTCTCTGTTGCCCAGGCGAAAGTGCAGTGGCATGATCTCAGCTCACTGCCACCTCCACCTCCTGGGTTCAAGCGATTCTTGTGCCTCATCCTCCCGAATTGCTTGGATTATGGGTGTGCACCACCACGCCCAGCTAATTTTTGAATTTTTAGTAGATATGGGGTTTTGCTATGTTGGCCAGGCTGACCTAAAGCTTCTGGCTTAAGTGATCCGCCCACTTCACCCTCCCAAAGTGCCAGAATTACAGATGTGAGCCATGTGCCTGGTCTCTTTTTTTTTTTTAAGGGAAGTCAAATACCTATGGGCCAGGCACGGTGGTTCACACTCGTCATCCCTGCACTCTGGGATGCCAAGGTAGGAGGATTGCTTGGGCTCAGGAGTTCAAGACCAGCCTGGCCAACATAGAGAGATCCTGTCTCTACAAAATGTTTTTTAAAAAGTTAGCTGGGTGTGGTGGTGCATGCCTGTAGTCCTAGCTACTTGGGAGGCATCACTGGGAGGACTGCTTGAGCCCAGGCATTCAAGGCTGCAGCAAGCTATTATCCTGCCGCATACTCCCGCCTGGGTGACAGAGGGAGACCCTGTCTCAAATAAATAAATCAATATCTGAAATTTTTTAAAATTTTTGTAGCTTTAAATATTCAGTAGTAATTTTTCAGACTTTACATGTTAGCTCAAAAGAAAAATAAAGCTATATCTATTTTGTAAGGTGAAAAGCAGAAACTCCATTTGTAAAAGAGAAAATAATTGATCTAAGCCAAATTCTGGGGGCCTCAATAAAATTACAATTGTCATAGTTTATTTATTAGTTTACCAGCTCAAAATGTCACAGAACTTTACTGTAGACATTATGTTGTAAATATTGGTCATCATATCTATTAGTTTGTAATTAATTGAAGCTTGTATAAAACAAAAGAGTAAAACAGACCTTTAATGTACCCCATGAGAAGGGTCATTATTCATTTATGACTTATACAAAGGTAAAAGGGGGTGGACCACGGATAACTGGAATACTTGTGCAAAATACCTATGGTGAATATGATTTATTCTAATTCTTCCATAGCACCCATAGATTCAAACAAATAAGAAAACTTTTAAAGTCTTGTATTCGAAATTATATGAGGGGTAATTCATTATTAAGACTAATTTATTCTTCAGTCTTCTATGATTTAAATATACATGTACAAGTAAACATGTACAGAAATTAACACTAAAGATTTTATGCTTCTTTCTGAAGAAAACTTAGGATATACCATTATATCAAATAAATATATAGTATACAGAAAATTGTATATTTGAAATTTTTTAAATTGAAACTTACTGTATCTAAAATAAATACTTTATTTATTCAGGCATTCACAAAAATTATTGCGAGCCAATTATGAACCAGATTCTGAACTAATAACTACTAAGGATATAGCAGTGACGAGAAAAGATAAAAATCTCTCCTGTCTTGGGATTTACATTCTGTGAAAAAAATCCTTATTAGGTAAAAGGAAACTTTATGAGGTGTTAAGAAGAATATCCCTCAAAATGTGCTTCTTTGAAATTCTGTATTGTAATCATCTGCAGTGTATGTTAAAAATGATGCGGGGGGTGGGGGCAGGGCCGGGCGTGGTGGCTCACACCTGTAATTCCAGCACTTTGGGAGGCCAAGGTGGGTGGGTTTGAGACCAGCCTGGCCAACACGTGAAACTCCATCTCTACCAAAAATACAAAAATTAGCTGGGCGTGGTGGTACACACCTGTAATCCCAGCTACTCGGGAGGCTGAGGCAGGAGAATCACTTAAACCTGGGAGATGGAGGTTACAGGGAGCTGAGATCGTGCCATTGCACTACAGCCTGGGCAACAGAGCAAGACTCCATCTCAGGGGAAAAAAAAAATGATGCAGGGGCCAGGCGCTGTGGCTCATGCCTATAATCCCAGCACTTTGGGAGGCCAAGGCGATTACCCCTCATATAATTGCTTGAGCTCAGGAGTTCAAGACCAGCAGGGGCAACAAAGTGAGACCCTGTCTCTATAAAAAATACAAAAATTAGTCAGGCTAATTTTACTCGGGAGGCTGAGGTGGGAGGATGGCTTGAGCCTGGGAGGCAGAGGTGTGGTAGTGAGCCAAGATCACACCACTGCACTCTAGCCTGGGCAACAGAACCAGACCCGGTCTCAAAAAAAAAAAAATATGCAGACCAGGCACAGTGGCTCATGCACTTTGGGAGGCCAAGGGGGAAGATCTCTTGAGCCTAGGAGTTCAAGACCAGCCTAGGCAACGGAGCAAGAACCCGTCTCTACAAAAGAAGGTTAAAAAAACTAGAAAAAAATAGGCAGGCATGGTGGTACATGACTGTAGTCTCAGCTACTTGGGAGGCGAAGGTGGGAAGATCACTTGAGCCTGGGAGGTTGAGGCTGCAATGAACTGTGATCAAGCCACTGCACTCTGGCCTGGAAGACAGAATGAGACCCTGTCTCAAAAAAAGAAAAAAAAAGATGCAAATTTGTGTATTTTATCACAACGGAAGAGAAAACAACAGAGATTCTCAGGGTTTCTACCCCAGAAGTAGTAAATCAGAACACAGTGTGGGGGACAGAAAGCTACATTTTTAATGGCTTCTATACACACTATCATTAGAAAACTTTCTCTTTGAATGTGTTTTTGAGTATTTCTAAAGTCTTCATAGACCCAGGGTCTTTGAGTGCATCTAAAAGGCCATCATAAGGACATCCAAATCTAAATTATATCTTCCAAATTATGAGCAGATGGATGTAAACCTGTTGAAATGCAGTCATTTGAACAAATGTGTACCAAATAATGCAAACTATCTCTGAGAAAAATCTTCTTTCTTAAGGGACAGAAGAGAATATTTTCAGTGTGGTGTATATTTAATATTGAAAGCCTGGGCAACAAAGTGAGATCTCTTTTCTGCAAAAAATTTTTGAAAATTTAGCCGGGCATGGTGGTGCACTACTACAGGCGTGACTATAGCTACTCGGGTGGCTGAGGTGGGATGATCACTTGAGGTGCAGCCGGGGAGGTTAAGGCTGCAGTGAGCTGTGTTCACACCACTGCACTCCAACCTGAGTGACAGAGCAAGACCTTGTCTCAATAAAAAAAAAAAAAAAGTAAAGATATAAAAATAAAAAAGTCAGCCTCAAGGCTAGTATCAAGGCTACCTTTGCCCTTCCAAATACATCCATCATGTAATGTACTATTGCTCAAAATTTATTTGATGGAGGAAAATCTTGCTATGTATCATCCTTTCTAGAAAACAGGTTTTATTCCCTTCTGTTTTCAGTGCCCAGTTGCCCTACCATTTGGCACCAAAATTGGGAGTGTATATGAGAGGGGCAAGTTTCCTAAACTCAAATAGTCTACTACTATGGCAATTTTTGGTAGGTTGAGCCTTGATTAGGGTATAAGCCTAAATTTTTTTTTTGTTTTGTTTCTGTTTTTTTTTTTTGTTTTTTTTTTTTTTTTGAGACACGGTCTTGCTCTGTTGCCCAGGCTGGAGTGCAGTGGCATGACCTTGGCTCACTGCAACCTCTGCCTCCTGGGTTCAAGCAATTCTCCCTGCCTCAGCCTCCTGAACAGCTGGGATTACAGGCGCCCACCACACACTTGGCTAATTTTTGCATTTTTTAGTAGAGACGGGGTTTTGCCATGTTGGCCAGGCTGGTCTTGAACTCCTGACCTCAGGTGATCCACCCACCTCAGCCTCCCAAAGTGTCGGGATTACAGGCATGAATCACTGCACCTGGCCTGAGCCTGAAATTTGAGTCAGCAAAAATATGAGATGGAAATTTAAAGATTACAACTTGGATGTTTTAACAGTGAAAGGATGATATTATATTGCCATCTTAATAACAAAGTTAAAAAAACTATGGAAGAGTTTTTACTCATCACTGTTTTACAGTGCCACAGAAACAGGAAGTGGGTTGGTGGTTTTTTAAACATTTTTTTGGGTGAATTTTGGATTGCACCAGAACAGACTAGTGAATCATAAACTTTCTGCTCTGTTTCCTACCTCTTGATAGGTTTAGACAAGTTTGATCTTAGACAAGCTTAGATCAAGTGAAGTTTTTCCCATATGCTAAACATATACTGACTTGACACACTTGTTGGTGAAATAATCAATAAAAGTGGTTTTAAAGCACTCTGTAAGTGAAAATAAAAAATACTATGCAAAGATTACAGCTTGGGTGTATGCTGCTGGTAGTTTTATGGCACTGAAAACAAAAAAGGCCAAAGTCTTTGCAGCTGTGCACTGATTAATCAGAAAGGGATGAAAGAAATTTCCTTTCACGTCATAAACTGTGTGATTGTGATACTTGTTAGTTATGAAAGGGTTTTTGTTTTTGTTTTTGTTTTTGTTTTGAGACAGGGTCTCATTCTGTCACGCAGGCTGGAGTGCAGTGGCACGATCTTGACTTACTGCAACCTTTACCTCCCTGGGCTCAAGCGATCCTCCCACATCAGCCTCCAAAGTAGTTGGAACTACAGGCGCACACCACCATGCCCTGCTAATTTTTTGTATTTTTTTGTAGAGATGGGGTTTCGCCATGTTACCCAGGCTGGTCTCAAACTCCTGGATTCAAGCAATCCACCTGCTTCAACTTCGCAAAGTGCCGGGATTATAGGCATGAGCCACCACCCAGGTGGGATTTTTAAAAGAACTTTTTCTATTAGAAGTTACTAAACTTTAAACTTTAAAAAGTAGGAAACTGATATTTTTTAAAGCTCTGTATTTTGATGGGGACAATCAGAGCATCTACTATTTGCCCAGCAATGCACAAATGCTGAAAGAAGTCCAAGAGGTTAAAATATGCTCCATGCCCTGGACAATTTTCCAATTTTTTTTTTTTTTGAGATGGAATTTCACTCCTGTTGGCCCAGACTGGAGTGCAATGGCGCTATCTCAGCTCACTGCAACCTCCACTACCCGGTTTCAAGTGATTCTCTTGCCTCAGCCTCCCAAGTAGCTCGGATTGAAGGCATGCACCACCACGCCTGGCTAATTTTGTATTTTTAGTAGAGACGAGGTTTCTCCATGTTGGTCAGGCTGGTCTCGAACTCCTGACCTCAGGTGATCTGCTAGCCTTGGCCTCCCAAAGTGCTGGGATTACAAGCATGAGCCACCACACCCGGCAATTTTCCAATTTTCTTAGGCAATTAAGATATGTGTGTGCTCCCGTTAGAATGGCGATCATTAAAAAGTCAGGAAACAACAGATGCTGGAGAGGATGTGGAGAAACAGGAACACTTTTACACTGTTGGTGGGACTGTAAACTAGTTCAACCATTGTGGAAGACAGTGTGGCAATTCCTCAAGGATCTAGAACTAGAAATACCATTTGACCCAGCCATTCCATTACTGAGTATATACCCAAAGGATTATAAATCATGCTGCTATAAAGACACATGCACACGTATGTTCACTGCAGCACTATTCACAATAGCAAAGATTTGGAACCAACCCAAATATCCATCAATGATAGAATGGATTAAGAAAATGTGGCACATATACACCATGGAATACTATGCAGCCATAAAAAAAGGATGAGTTCATGTCCTTTGTAGGGACATGGATGAAGCTGGAAACCATCATTCTCAGCAAACTATCGCAAGGACAAAAAACCAAACACCACAGGTTCTCACTCATAGGTGGGAATTGAACAATGAGAACACTTGGACACAGGAAGGGGAACATCACACACTGGGGCCTGTCGTGGGGTCGGTGGAGCAGGGAGGGATAGCATTAGGAGATATACCTAATGTAAATGACGAGTTAATGAGTGCAGCACACCAACATGGCACATGTATACATATGTAACAAACCAGCATGTTGTGCACATGTACCCTAGAACTTAAATTATAATAAAAAAAGATATGTGTGTGCTGTAATAATCAGAGAGTATCAATACAAGCAGGAGATGAATAGTAATGCATTTGATAAGTGCCACAGGTGCTCAGAGAAAAAAAACACACCCGGGTAACCTGGAAAAATCTGTCCAGGGAAGAAAGTGGGAAAAGGGATAGGCATTTCCTATCCCATGGTTGTAGAAAGTATCTGAGTAGAGATGAACATTTCAGCATTCCAGAAGAGGTAAACAATTATTGCATAACCTGGTGAAAAACTCTCTGAAATGTTATATAAAGTATCAAAATGGTCACTGAGGTCACCAAGCTTTTTCAAATATTAGTGTTTTTCAAGATTTGTCTTCTGAGACAGATGAGCTTTTCCCCCCTCCCATGCAGTGAGGGAGGACTTGTGTGTTCATTCAGTTATACAGCACGGGATAAAGTTCATTGGTATACTGGGTGCCTGAAACCAGCCCTGAATGCATCCTCTTTCTGTGTGTAGCAGCCAATTGAGAGATTACAAAGAAAATCCTTAAACAGAAGTAAAGCAGGGTTTTACTACCATCAGGGGAAGAGGTCACATTAAAAAAAGGTTGCCAACTGGTTGGCAACCTTTTTTTTTCTTTTTTGAGATGGAGTCTCACTCTGTCATCCAGGCTGGAGTGCAGTGGCACAATCTTCGCTCATTGCAACTTCCGCCTCCTGGATTCAAGCGATTCTCCTGCCTCAGCTTCCCAAGTAGCTGGGATTACAGGTGCCTGCCACCACACTCGGACAGTTTTTGTATTTTTAGTAGGGGTTTCGCCATCTTGGCCAGGCTGTTCTCGAACTCCTGACCTCGAAGATCCCCCTGCCTCGGGCCCCCCAAAGTGCTGGGACTACAGGCGTGAGCCACCGTGCCTGGCCAGCTTTTTCTAACACTAAGCAGCAGCAACTGGCCCCCACCTCCCACCCACAAACCCAAGTCCCCAGGGGCAGCTTCTTAGTATGTATTCTCTGAAACAATCCCATGTAGAAGCTCTTTCCAATAAGCTAAATAATGAACTCCCACTTAAACACCATTCTAATTTACACCTAAATCACACAAGCATCCTCCTTCTAAGAAGACGTCATAATCGTTTTGAAAATCATTGCAAAATTCCCAAACTTGAAAAAAAAGAAAAAAAAAAGGGCAAGTGTCTGGCAATTGGATTATTGGTCTCTAAGACCACTCATCCTTTCAGAGGTATCCAGCATTGGATCCCTGGCCTGGCTTCAACTTCCAAGTAACTAAGATGTGTCCCATTAATAGCCCTTCCTCCTTTTCTCTCCTCACCTTCACTCCAACCGGCAGCAAACTGTCCCTACCCACCCGACCCACAGTTCCTTTGGAGGCAGCACAGATTTCCTGGCAGCCAGTCCCAGGGTCTTTCGTTGCTGCCCTCCTGTGACCTCTAGACATTGCTCTCCTGGGCCACATAGGATTTGTTTGTTCTGCACAGGTAGGGATGTCTGAAAAACTCGATTATTATTGTTATTATCACTATTACTACTACTACTATGACATAATTTTAAGCACTTACGTTCCGGACGCAGTTACTAAATGCTGAACCTGAATTGGTTCCTATAAACCTCGTTAAAAAACAAACAAACATCTCAGTGAAGCAGGTACTAAACCTACCCCCGCATCACAGGTGAGGACACCGACGCACAGAGCAGTTAGGCAGCTTGCCAGGTTCCCGACTTTTTCTATTTCTTTTTTTTTTTTTTTTTTTTTTGAGACGGAGTCTCGCTGTGTCGCCCAGGCTGGAGTGCAGTGGTGGATCTCGGCTCACTGCAACCTCCGCCTCCTGAGTTCAAGCGATTCTTGTGCCTCGGCCTCCCGAGTAGCTGGGATTACAGGCGCCTGTCACCAAGCCCAGCTAATTTTTGTATTTTTAGTAGAGAAGGGGTTTCGCCATGTAGGCCAGGCTGCTCTCGAACTCCTGACCTCAGGTGCTCTACCTGCCCTGGCCTCCCAAAGTGCTGGGATTACAGGCGTGAGCCACCGCGCCCGGCCTGGTCCCGAGTTAATCTACGGCAGGCCGCGGTTCGAATCCCGCTGGTGTGAGCCGCGGGCCGCGTAGTGCCGGCCCAGGGAACCGCTTTGTCCCCGACCACCGCTCGCGTGGCATCGCGCCCGAGGAAACTTGGATCGCTGGCGCCGCGGGCTACGTTCAGTGGTTGCCAGAGAGACACGTGACCGGCAGCGGGGGCGGGGCCTGCAGGGAGCCACGCCCCGCACAGTTAACAGACGGGCGCTCAGGGAGCTAGGGAGCTGTGAAGCTGCTGGAGGAGTTGGCGTCCGGGGAGCAAGGGCCATGGCCACCGTGCAGGAGAAGGCTGCTGCGCTGAACCTCTCGGCTCTCCACAGCCCCGCGCACAGGCCTCCGGGTAGGTGCCGAGGACTGCCGCCTGGGATGGCGCGGGGCGGGCTGGGGTGCGCGGGCTGGGTCCCGGCGCGGGGCGGGCGGCGTGGGGCGTTCGGCCGCCTGCGCCTGTCAACGGCCGGCTGGGCGAGCACAGCACAGCTGCGACCACTTGGCCAACGCCCCCGCCGAGCGGGCGGATCGAGTTCCTCTCTGGCTGGTGGGCTGCAAGCGGCAGAGCCCGCCCGCACAGCCCAGCTTTTTTCTTTCTACCCAGACTCTCAACTTGACCGCGCGTTGGTCTGTGCGCCCGCTAACGTGCCAGGCACGCGCCGGGGAGCTCCGGGATATGCTCCGCGGTGCTACCGGTGACAAGTGTGGTATCTGGAATTTGTGTAGTTCTTTGCCCCCTGTCTCAACCACAAACCTTGACGACACAGTATGGCCAGGGGCCGAGCTCCTCCCTTGCCCACTTTGTTCTCCAGACTGCTAGGAGTCAAGAGTCAGCTTGTCTCCCCAGACTCTTCCTGGGAGGGATGAGAGGTTTATGTGAGTTCTACTGGCAGGAATTTGGCATAAAAGGTATTTATTAACACTTTATGTATAAGCAGTATTTTAGTGAATAGAAGTTTTTGGCTAAAAAAACAGTTACATGAAATTAGGAGGGAAGTTGGCAAATTCTGCCACGGGCCTAATCGTGTCTTTTGGGGGCAGTTGATTTAGGATTCTGGTTTCTTTAAATGTTCAAACACATGAAGAGAATCGGATATCACTTCTAAAATGCTGGTTATAGCAGATCTACAACCCAGTTAATAGGGGTGACTCAGATAACTGTTAAGATACTCAGATAACCCTTGGCTTTTTTCTTTTGGTTAAGTTACAACTTTTTCCCCTTTCTGGAGCTCCAGTCTGGGATGTCGTAGGAATTAGTTCCCTTTCTGACAAAAGCCTTTCATTTGTAAAAACACCAACCAGTGAAACTGTGATTCCTTCCTCTGGGTCAAATGGGTGCTTCTCAGTGGCCCCACTCTTGTGTTTGACTTACTCACTAATGCTCATTTTAATCTTCAAAATGCTAACGACAGATTATGGTAGAGAACCATTTTTCACTTGTCCTTTTCTAAGAAAAATCATAATATTGACCTTAGTCTGCTTCCATGTAAAGGATTCAGGTAAGCACATAGTGGCCACATTGAGAATGTCTCCTTGATTTATGTTGTGAAGAGAAGACAAATGCTAAGACATTTGGGAATTTAAAACCAAATGACATTGAAAACAGTCTTGAGAAATCTTTTGGGCCCACTTACTCAGTGAAGGAAATTCCCAAATGTCACCTGCTTAAAATAAAAACATGGTACCCTGTTTTCTCTAATAGCTGAAATACCAATTCTGGAGCTTTGGGCATTTGTGAACAGGTTCTTAGATGGTGTAAGGAAGTATGTATTCAGAAATTAAGTAGATAACTCTCTAAGGGAAGAGTTGAAGTGCTGGTTATCAGGAATCAAAGGAACACTGTCCTCGGCACACTAGCTGCAGTGGACGGAGAGGGGCCCGCTGTTGTTCTCACTCGTTTTGCTTGCTACCGCTGGAATCCCGACCTGGTAACATTTGTTAGCCTTTCTTTCACCCTTTAGTTGCCTTGTCATAGTTCCAGTGAGCAAGGTAGTGGGAGCACACGGTTATTGGTTCTTTGCCATTCTCTTTCTGTGTGCTCTGGCAGGCAGCTTTGTACTTTTGTTTCTCCACCGATTAGTAACTCTCACTTACCTTAAAGGGGCTGTAATGACCAGGGACCTGATTTATGTACAAGAAATGAGATCTATATGCCAGTCTTCAGCCAGTATGTCAAAAACACTTGTCTTTTAATACGACAAACAAGAAAGTAGTCTGTTATCCTGTTATCCCTTTATACTGTAACCTAATTCTTTGAGTTTGCCTGGTATCACTTTTCCAGGGAGCTCAAAGTACTTCCCATATGCTGTCTCATTAATGTATGTGAATTAAAGCAGAGACCAATGTCTGCTTTTGCTGATAATTCTCGTAGATATTGTAAATTTTTCTTGTTGGTAGACTTCTTTTACCTACCTGCAGCCTTCTTTTCAGAGGCAATCGCAGTCTTCAGCATGACGCCTCTAATGCCAACTAGCAGGAAAATAAACTTTGGACTACCAGAACCAATATCCAGTAAAAGTGTTGTAATCTTGGGATCATAGTATAGAAAATTTTTCCACTCAGTCACAACTGTCAAGTTTTAACACCATAAACACAATTCTCTTTACATTTATCTATTAATATTTTCATGAGGTTTTGGTTACTATCCAACAAATGTCCTTTTTCTTTGTTGTCTTGACAATTCTTTGTGTGAGTAATATTTTAAAACCTCTTTTGAAAAAATCTTTCTTAAAATTCTCTTAAATCCTAAATGGTCTAGGATTTATAGATGTGTTATTTTCTGATGAAAAGTTAAATCCTCTGGTATGTGTCACATCTTGTCTTCTCATCTCCTGTTGGCCTTTATGTGATTGAATACTATTCAGAACTTGACATTATCATCCAGGTAGTAGGAGTAAATAAAAGGTAAACTCCTAAGGTTGGGGACTGTGTCCTCTGAGTTCAGAGGAAGGAAGAGGAAGAAAGATACCTCCCTTTTCTTTCTACTTTTAAAATAAAATTTTAGATTCACTAAATAGTATGGTCCATTTGTCATAATTAATGAACCAATATTGATACATATAATTATTAACTGAAGTCCACACTTAGATTCCCTTGGTGTTTGCCTAATGTTCTCTTCCAGGATCCCATCCAAGATATTATATTACATTCAGTTGTCATGTAATGAATCTACTCTTCTAGACTGTGACAGTTTGCTCCTTTTGTTTTTAGTGATACATCTGTTAATTTCTGGACATTTTGCGAGACACATTAACATATTGTCTCATGATCCTCGCAATGAGTGAGAGAAGTGGAGTTAGCTCTGTTTTGCAACAGAAAAGTTAGGCAGTTTGCCCAAGATCGTGTTATTAGTAAATGATGGACCCAACAACGGAACTCAGGTCCCTGGGACTGCAGAGTCCACACTGGTCTAACTCTTTGTAGTCACAGCACCTAGCACTGTGTCTGCTGCGTTAACTCAAGTTTCCATGTCTGAACAGTATTCAGTCAACCCAAGGTTTCTTAACCTTGGCACTACTGACGTTTTCTTTGTTGTGGGTGCTGTCTGTGCATTGTAAGATGTTTAGTAGCATCCCTCTACCCACTGGATGCCAGCAATACCCACACTCATTGTGACAATCAAAAATGTCTCCAGACATGTCCTGTTGGGGGTATAATCACCCACTGAGAACCACTGGGTTAACCTTCCTTTAAAAATTTTTTTTATGAACGGGGTGTAGTGGCTCACACCTGTAATGCCAGCACTTTGGGAGGTTGAGGCAGGTGGATCATTTGAGGCCAGGAGTTTGAGACCAGCCTGGCCAATGCGACAAAACCCCATTTCTACTAAAAATCCAAAAATTGTCTGGGTGTAGTGGCGCACACCTGTAATCCCAGCTACTCAGGAGGTTGAGGCAGGAGAATCGCTTGAACCCAGGAGGCAGAGGTTGCAGTGAGCCGAGATCACACCACTGCATTCCAACCTGGATGACAAAGTGAGACTCTGTCTCAAAAAAGAAAAAAAAGTAAGTTTTTTAGTAGTTAGCAATAATTAACAACTAACAAATATTGACTAACCAATTGTATTATATTGAGGCAATCTGTAAGGCAATTAAATAATTTAAACCTCTGTAAACCGCTAGGAAATCTGAAAGAAATCGGGCACTAGCTCACCATCTCTTAAAAGTTTTATGGAGAAACATCAACTGTCTGGATTCAGTTCCTTTTTTTTTTTTTTTTTTAAGTCCAGTCTAAAGACCGAGAATGGAAACAAATTTGTTATATGTTCATTAAGAGGTAGTGTGTTTTATTAATTCTGTGTGTATGTTTACCTTACATTGGGATCCAATTTTATAATGTGTATATTGATCTACTTCTAAAGATTTAATATAATCTTACTATTTGAAGTGATTATACAATTGTTTTCCCTTTAAATAGGTTTTCATAGGTTTTCACAGTAGGACTAGGGTTGCTGACAGGGTGGATTATGGTTGATGCTGATTATCCCTAATTTTTGGGTAAATGTAATTTCTTTACATTTTTAGGGAATTATTATGACTCAGTTATTTAGTGTGAATTCTTAGAAGTGAGGATGATTATTACTGGTACTACACGTATATATAAGTGTTCAATATTATCTTAGAAGTTTAACTTTTACTTTTGGTAAACGTTTTTTATGGTAGAGTTCAAATACATGTGAAGGGCAGCTTTTGAAAAATAGCTATTGTTTTCAAGCAAATAAGGATGAGACTGCTTGAAAAATGAAGGTTAACTAGCCTAGATTTATATAGTGCTTGAGACTATGTGTTGAAGGCTAGATAATCAAATTATTCCTGAGCCTCCTTAGGCAACCTTCCAAAAGGTTTTGTATCTGGTAGGGTCAAATTTGTCCATATGCTTCCTTTCTTGCCTATAGATCTGCCATATTTGGTGTTCAATGTCCTTATCTAAATGGAGGAGATATAATTTCAGTCTTTACATTCCTATAATCAGTTTATTTAAAGACAGGATCTCACTCTGTCACCCAGGCTGGAGTGCAGTGGTGCGATCCTAGCCCACTGTAACCTCGAACTCCTGGCCTCAAGCAATCTTCCCGCCATGGCCTCCCAAAGTCCTGGGGTCAGAGGCATGAGCCACTGTGCCTGCCCTGGCAGTTTAGACCTGAAACTAACCTAAAATATTGTGTTCAACTATTTTATCAGTAGATAAAGAAACCTACTTACAGAGATTGTCTCTTATCCAGAGTTTTTACAGCTGATCTCTAAACTCTTTGATTCCATTTGTTATGATGCTTTTAGAAAATGCTTGACCAGGCTGGGTGTGGTGGCTCACACCTGTAATCCCAGCACTTTGGGAGGCCGAGGTGGGTGGATCACGAGGTCAGGAGTTCCAGACCATCCTGGCCAACATGGTGAAACCCTGTCTCTACTAAAAATACAAAAAAAAATTAGCTGCACGTGGTGGCGCGTGCCTGTAATCCTAGCTACTTGGGAGGCTGAGGCAGGAAAATCACTTGAAGCAGGGAGTTGGAGGTTGCAGTGAGCCAAGATCGCACCACTGCACTCCAGCCTGGCGACAGAGTGAGACACCATCTCAAAAAAAAAAAAAGAAAAAAAAGAAAATGCTTGACCAAATGTAAGGAAGCATCAAGATGTAGATAGTGATGGATTTTAAAAGGTTGTTTAGCTCATATGAAAGTGAGGTTTGAGGACAAGCTGAACCCTTAATTCTGATTGCAAGACTTAAAAAACATTCATTGTCTATTTTTGGTCTCTTAAATCCTGTTTAGAAATCACAGTAAGTCATCTTACTGGGCCATGATCTGCTATACCAATATTCATTTCAGCTTTTAAATGACGATAAATAAGTTTCAAACCATATATGTTCAGCTGGTGAAGTCAGCATTTTAAAAAGCAGGTTATCCTGGTATGGGTTTTGGCACATTTACTTGTCAAGTCCAGGGTACATTGTGTATGAAAGCATCTGTATGAACATGAGCTAGTTTGTGGGTGGTGGTGCTTGAAGGGAAATATCCCAGGATGCAATGGTTGGGAATTAATGGTCAGTGAGAACAGAGGGGACCTGTGAGGGCTGCATTGTATCATGCCTGGAGGACTCTGGAAACCTGTGGTTCACAGGTGTCTACTCTCCTGCTCTAACTAGTTCTTTAATCTTTTATGCAGTGTTATACAACCTGCAGAACCTCCTGATTTCCCACAAGTTAATATGGGGAAATTTATTCTTTACCTCTTAATTCTTCTGTGAAGATTAGCCTTTTCTACTCATTGAGGCCAAATATCCCCTCTCACCGCCCTCTTCAGCTGTCTTACTGATCTGTAATTAATAAGTGACTCAGCCTTGTCATTTAGGATTTGTGTGCTAACCTACTTATAGCTCAAGTGTTATGACTTATGTGTTTCATCTTTATATTATCACTAGTCCAAAAGTCTGTCTCATTGGTTCTTAAAAGGCAGTCTGATTGAAGTTTGAATCTTGCATGTCTTCCTTTTCCTGTCTTACCCTGTGTACTGTGGTAGTATTTATTACAGAATTTATGATATCCTGCCTTATTTTATGAGTAGTGACTACTGTTTTTAAATAGCTTGGTTAAGGGTTCTTAGAGTTTGTTTTATCTCTTGGCTCTCTTAAAGCTGTTTCACTTAATCCAAGTTTCCAGTGAAAGGTTAATGCTTAAACAACTTATCTGATGGCTGACTTTTCATATATTTATGTTTAAGTACTAGGAAACACTAGTATATATTTATCAGCTGTGTAACTGTGGGCACATTTAACTCACAGAGCCTCAATTTCCTCAAAATAGGATTATTAATAATCATTTTGCAGAGAAGCTTATCAGAATTAAATGCGAGAAGACAGAGCCTGTCATAGTGTAAATACTCAAATGTTAGCTATTAATAATAAAGATTTGAAAAATTAAGCAGAAATTGTTTATTTTAAATCTTATTTATAATCTCTGGTATTTTAGGAAGTTAAGAATATTAGTCGCTAACAATGTTTAGGCATTGTGGCTGGAAATAGTACAACTACTCCTGAGTTCTGGATACCAGAAATGACCTGGACTTACTCTGAGATTCCATCAAATGCCTCATTCTTGCTCTGTTCAACAGAGACTAAATACTGTACCAAGAGTAGATCTAATTCCAGCTTGATTTATTTAGTCAATTCTCCATAATTCAGTTCCTGAAATAGCTCACATTATATTTGGAAGACTGGCAACAATTACTTCCATCTTTGTTTAGTACTGGCTTATGAAATATCTTCAAATTTAAAATACAATTTTGACAATTAAAAACAATCTTGCTTATTTTGGGAGGCCTAGGTGGGTGGATCACGAGGTCAGGAGATCGAGACCATCCTGGCTAACACGATGAAACCCTGTCTCTACTAAAAAAAAATACAAAAAATTAGCCGGGCGTGGTGGCGGGCACCTGTAGTCCCAGCTACTTGGGAGGCTAAAGGTGGGAGAATGGCATGAACCCAGGAGGCGGAGCTTGCAGTGAGCCGAGATCACGCCACTGCACTCCAGCCTGGGTGACAGAGAGGGACTCTGTCTCAAAAAAAAAAAAAAAATCTTGCTGATCATTTTAAACCAACGTTATAATAATGGGTAGGTGGTAAATTACCCATCTACTTTTGGTATTAGAAATATACAAATAAACAATAAAGGACTGTGTATTTGTGTATATGCTATTCATTTTCACTATAAAGATGTTTAAATTGCTAGTAGCTACAGAATTATGCTACAAGTGAAATCAGTGTAGTGGTTCAGTGTACTCCTTATATTTATTGCAACGTAAGAGATGAATTTCAAATGACCCACTTATAATTTATGGCTCTAGTGCACTAAGAGGAGTTTTTGTTTATTTATTTATTTATTAGACGGAGTCTTGCTTTGTCGTCCAGGCTGGAGTGCAGTGGCACTATCTTGGCTTACTGCAACCTCCACCTCCCAGGTTCAAGCAATTCTCTGCCTCAGCCTCCTGAGTAACTGGGATTGCAGGTGCCTGCTACCACGCCCGGCCAATTTTTGTATTTTTAGTAGAGAGGGTTTCACCACCTTCGGCAGGCTGTAAAGGAGTTTTAATAATGTCCTTCAGGAGCTTATCTTATGCTTTCTTCATCTTAAACATTCTATTTTGCCTAAAAAAGTAGGAAGATAATTTCAAGTAGCAATTTCTTTAATTATAATTCCCTTTTTTCCTTACCATTGTACTCATGCATATGGTTTTCCTTTCTAGACGATCTTAAAGGAAGTAATAACTTCACCTTCTCTGCCAAAATATCTAAAAATAAAGGAAGTAATATACTTAACATAAATGGGGGCTTAAATTAAGACTGCTGAATTTTCAGAGGATCACTGAAAAGTGTAACACATTAAAGGGCCTACTCTTTATGAAAGGAAAAAAGGGAGGGAGCCAGCCAGCCACCAAGTGAGTGATTCACTGGAATCCATTCCATCGGTTTACAAAAACCCAAGACCTGATTTCTTTCCTATTGATTTCCAAATATCTGCTAATTACAATGAGGAAAAATGTGATAGGATATTTTTGAAAGTTTGTTTTTCTCCTTTTGTGTTTGGCAAAAATCTTGCTTTCTTCTGTGCGTACTCTGTCTTTGCAATAGGTCATAAGCTCCTATAGGGCAGGAACCAAATTGTTACTTTACCGCGCATACAAAGTATTTAACTCATAAGCCTGCATAATAGGAGGCTTTAAAAATATTAGTTTATTCCTGCAATGATTGTGTGTATCAATGTGTATGTGTGTGTGTGTGTATACAATCATGCGTAGTGTAATGACGGGGATATGTTCTGAGAAATGTGTATTGTCAGGTGATTTCATTGTTGTGCAAACATCATAGAGTATAGTTCCACAAACCTTGATGGTATAGCCTGCTACACACCTAGGCTATGTGGTGTAGCCTGTTGCTCTTAGGCCACAAACCTGCAGAGCTATACTGAATGCTGTAAGCAATTGTAACACAATGATAAGTACTTGTGTATCTAAACATAGAAAAGGTACAGCAAGAGATAGGAACAGGAATTTTTAAGCTCCATTATAATTGTATAGGACCACTGTTATATGTGGTCCATCGTTGACAGAAATGTTGTTTTGTGATGCATGACTCTGTGTGTGTGTGTGTGTGTGTGTGTGTGTGTGTGTGTATGACTCATAAGTACTTCAAAATCATATAAAACATGAGCTAAGTCCCAGTACTACCTCTTTCAATATAATATCTGGAAGTGCCATGTAACCTCTGTGACTCTGTTTTCCATCTCTCAAATGGAAATGATACGTACCTCATAGGTTGCTATTGAAGGTTAGATAATTTACATAAGATGTGTAATAGAATCCTTATACATAACTGGTAACTGCCACAAGGTCCTACTTGATGTGTCCTCCTAACTCCCAGTCTCAAACTCCAGCCCCTCTCCCTCCTTGATCTAACTTCCTGTTCTTCTCTCCCTCCCCACACCACTCTGGCTGTGCGGACCTCCCTCCTATCCTACCAGAGCACACTCCCACCTCAGGGCATTTGCTCTTTCCCCAGATGTCTGCACAGCTTGCTTCTTGCTTCTTGGTTTTACTTGAGTTTCTGCTCAGGTATAACCTTATCACACAGGTCTATCCTGACATCCCATTTAAAGTCGCATTCTTTATCTTATCCAGCTTTATTTTTCTTCTCAGCATTGATCTAACACGTATGGATTGTCTTTATCTTCCTACAAAGTCTTAAGTTCCTGAGAACAGGAATCTTATTTTGCTTACTGTTGCATCTTAGCATATAGAACAGTGTTTGGCATATAAGTACCAAATTTTTAAATGAATCGCTATTAAAACAGTATTTCAGTAAGCTACCCTCATAATTGCTCCTTATCAATAACTTTGGAAATTACCACATTTTTGCCTAAGGATTGCTTAGACCTTATTACAAATGAACAAGGTACTAAATCCCAGTTTCTCTATGATTTTTCTCCTTCTAGGTTTCAGTGTAGCTCAGAAGCCATTTGGAGCCACGTATGTATGGAGCAGCATCATAAACACTCTTCAAACACAAGTGGAAGTGAAAAAACGAAGGCACCGTTTAAAACGACATAATGACTGCTTTGTTGGTTCAGAAGCTGTGGATGTCATTTTTTCTCACCTAATTCAGAATAAGTATTTTGGTGATGTAGATATTCCTCGAGCCAAAGTGGTGAGAGTGTGTCAAGCGCTTATGGACTACAAAGTATTTGAAGCAGTTCCAACCAAAGTCTTTGGAAAAGACAAAAAACCTACATTTGAAGATAGTAGTTGCAGCCTTTATAGATTCACCACAATACCTAACCAAGACAGTCAGTTAGGCAAAGAGAACAAACTATATTCACCTGCCAGGTTGGTATATAATGTTAGATTATCACGGGAATATTGGCAGGATTTTGTCTACCTTTTTATGAGATGCCTACTGGCTTTATATTACATTTTTAGCAGTAAATGTGGCTAAAATATGGGTCTGTGGGTAAATTTGATAAAGTGCGATGAAATTTTGTTAGCTTTATTGGGTGTCTCCTAGTCATATTTTATATTTAGCAGAAGCAGTCAACACACTTTGATTTTCCTGCTTCAGGTTATAGTTGCAGTGTAAAAAGTGTTCTCATACCACTTGGTATGAGAACATAGCGAAGGCAGGCAGAGAGAAACCCAGATTGCGGTGGGAGAGAAGAAGGAATTATTTAAAGGGAAACTGGGGAGACAGAATTGTGGAATCCAGTGATTGAAATGGATGTGGGTGATAATGCATAATGAACTTACAGCTATTTGTCATGAAGTAAACCAACTTTACCCTTTCCCCTTTGTTACCCTCAGCTAAACTGTGCAGTGGTGACACAGAGGTATAATTGAAGCTCTTATATCAGATCTGACCTAAAGTCAGAGTTTTAGTGTATTCATTTTCGTGTGTGTGTACTTTTTTGAGGCAGGGTCTTACCCTCTCACCCAGACTGGAGTGCAGTGGTGTGATCTCAGCTCACTGCATTGTCTGCCTTTTGGGCTCAAGCGATCATCCTAGCCTCCCAGTAGCTGGGACTACAGGCTTGCACCACCATGCCTGGCTAATTTTTTTTCTTTTCTTTTCTTTTCTTTTTTTTCCTGTGGAGACGGAATCCCATTATGGTTCAAGACCAGGCTAGTCTGAAATTCCTGGGCTCAAGTGATCCTCCCATCTTGTGCTCCTAAAGTGTTGGAATTAGAAGCATAAGCCACTGCGCCTGGCCCATTTTTACATGTTTTGACCCAAACTAAAACATGATAAAATTTACCTCTTTGTGTAGAAAGGAAATATGAGGATAAAGTAAGGCACAGTCAAAACTTTCAGATGCAGGTCCACACACTTTATCTGAAATCCTTGGGACCAGATGCATTTAGGAATTTGGAACTTTGGAGCATTTAGAAAAGTTATCTTGTACATTTATGTGGTTCACCATCCCTGGAGGCATCTGGGACAGCATCTGGTAATCAAGCATAATGATATTTCCGTGGTAAACAAAAGAATATACTACCGGGATAAATTAAAGCTATCATAGTCTTGGGACAGATTTTGTCATGATATGAGCTCTAAATAAACCTTTGATTTTCAAAGCTTTTTGGGTTTCAGAATTGCAGGTAAAGGGCTGTAGATCTGTATTTAGAAAACGATAAGTACTGTTCACCAAAGAATGCCCCACAAAAAGATAACTGATAAACCCAGTAAGCATAATGAAGTCCAGTTATGTTTGATCGCATTTTTAAACTGGTGACTAAGATTTTAGTCATTGAATTAGTTAAATCTAAGAAAATATTCAAAGGAGAACAGAATATGTTTATGCTTGAGAAAGAAGGTGGGTGTTTTTATAATTTATTCTACTCTTAGAATTTGGATTTGTTGTGTTTTTGCTCTGAAATGCATAACTCTGTAGAAAACTCTTAGCTCTCAAATACTAAAATATTTCTGTGGGCTTAGTAAATGTTCATTTCTGAAATAAATTCATTTTAGGTATGCAGATGCATTATTTAAGTCATCCGATATCAGATCAGCCAGTTTAGAGGACCTGTGGGAAAATCTGAGTTTAAAGCCTGCCAACTCCCCTCATGTAAATATCTCTGCAACCTTGTCTCCACAAGGTAAGCTAAGGATGAAGCAAAGTAAGAAGTAGAAGACAAACTTCAAAGTTATTTAAAATTTTTTAATCTTAATCTTTATTAGATTTTAAATATTCAAAGTACAGAGAAAGAGTGCACTATGTATTAAAGCTGTTTATGTTCAATTTTAACAGAAGTCTATTATCTTTAACAAATAGATCAGTGTTAGAACTCTTGAACACTGACTTTTGTCCGATCAGCTGGCAAAGGTTCAGATCTGAGATGTTTTGCATGCAGATTTGTATTGAAAATATGCTCTCCGATGTTTCTTTTCCTAAGATTTTATTAGGTCAAGTAAAATTTGAAAATTACATTAAAACATTAACAGAATTCTTCGGTTCTTCCTTGTCTGTAGCAATGGAATATAGTTTAATGACTTTAATTTCCACCCTTTCCCCCATTCCAGTTGTGGAAACCCTGAGTGGAATAATCTGCAACCAATAGTTTCAAACAAGTTTTTAGCTTGAATGAATCATTCTTTCTTCCAGAGTCCTTATTAACATGTTACATGACTTGATCTCTTATCTCTGACAGATTGCTTTTTACAGTACAAAGAATGAAAAGAATTCCTGTTGTCCAAAGCCTATTCTCCTACACTCTAAACAAATCTTGGATTGTTTTACTTTGTTATAAGAAAGCACTTCGTAAGGTTGACTTTTTCTTTCTTTTTGGCCACAAATTTACTAGCTTAGACCTGCTTAGAAAAATATTATGGTGAGCATATAGTAACTATTAATTGTTACTTTTCACCTTGTCATTTTTCCTGTGTAGTTATTAATGAAGTGTGGCAAGAAGAAACAATTGGGCGTCTACTACAACTTGTAGACCTTCCACTTCTTGACTCCTTACTGAAACAGCAAGAGGCTGTACCTAAAATTCCTCAACCTAAGAGGCAGTCCACCATGGTCAACAGCAGTAACTATCTGGATCGAGGGATTCTCAAGGCTTATAGTGACTCTCAGTATGTGGAAATACATATAATAATTTGAGTGTGTTTGTAGGTAGATTGAGATAATGGTTTTAAGGTAATCTGTTCTATTCTTTTTTCTATAGGATCAGATATGCATTGTTAGTTGATATTATCAGTATTTGAGAATGTGAAGAACAAAATTACATTAGTCAAAATTAGAAAAAGATTTGTTTCATTTTTCATATTCATTTTTGTTTCACATGTAACTTGCACATTAAGTGAAAAAAAAATGATTATGCTTTAGCTTCTTATCTTTGTTAAAATGTAGAGCTGTCTGGACTCTCAAGATTTCCTCAAAGGGACCTGGAAGAATAGAAACAGATTTGACAGATTATTGAGATCCTTTGATTACATATCTAGAATGCCTGTTACATATGTATTTAGTTAACTAGTTGTATTAAAGAAATACAATAAGGCCGGGTGCGGTGGCCCATGCCTGTAATCCTAGCACTTTGGGAGGCTGAGGTGGGTGGATCACTTGAGGTCAGGAGTGCGAGGCCAGCCTGGCCGACATGGTAAAACCCCGACTCTACTAAAAATACAAAAATTAGCCAGGCATGGTGGCACGTAATCCCAGCTACTTGGGAGGCTGAGGCAGGAAAATCACTTGAACTTGGGAGGCAGAGGTTGCAGTGAGCTGAGATCATGTTGCTGCATTCCAGCCTAGGTGACAGAGTGAGAATGTCTCAAAAAAAAAAAAAAAAAAAAAATGAAAGTAACTCTCTCATTCCAGTTACTCCTCTCTTGAATATAAATCCTAAGGTTTGAAGGCTTAACTTTAGGTGCTGAGGGAATTAAAATTTTTTTTTCCTTAAAGACGAGTTCTGTATTACTCATAACTTTGAGGCTCTTCTATAAAAATTATTGTCGGTTAAAATAAGTTATCAGATTTTTCTAGCTTAATTTTTTATTATTTTGCCTTAGCAGATAGTGTTCCAGTCTAATTAAGGAGATGAAAATGTTTGAAAGGAATACAATTACATTTTCAGTACTTCACTAATTCTACGTTCCAAAGAACTATTAATACTATAAACAGTTGAATGCCAAAAGGCAGCTTAAAGCCTTATATGAAAAAGTTAATCCCAACATATGTGTTACTGAATTCTGCAGATATAACACATTTCTATAACCTAAAGGAACATGTGAAACATTGTGTAATTACTAAATTTTTTTTTTTTGAGACAGAGTCTCTCTGTCGCCCAGGCTGGAGTGCAGTGGCATGATCTCAGCTCCCTGCAGCCTCCGCCTCCCGGGTTCAAGCGATTCTTCTGCCTCAGCCTCCCAAGTAGCTGGAACTACAGGCGCACGCCACCATGCCTGGCTGATTTTTGTATTTTTAGTAGAGATGGGGTTTCACCATATTGGCCAGGGTGGTCTTGAACTCCCGACCTTGTGATCTGTCCACCTTGGCCTCCCAAAGTGCTGGGATTACAGGCGTGAGCCACTGCACCCAGCCTTGTAATTAGTAATTTTTATATACAAAATCAGAATTTGCGCTAGAAGTGACCTTAAAGATCATCTTATCATATAAAGTTGAAGCTGATGTCAAGAGAGGTGAAATGACCTGCCTGAGATACCTCACCTGGCTGAATTAGTTGTCCTGAGTCCATGGCAGTATGGCAGTAGAGGACATGATTGATTGCTTTTTAACGATAGATAGATAGATAGATAGATATAAAAAATGGAATATTAAAAGTTTACTACTTTATTTCTTGAAATGTAACATTTTTCTGAAGTTACCCAGCAGGATTTTACTGTAGATGATAATTGATATTTAATTATTTTGTTGGTTTGTTTTTTGAGATGAGGTCTCGCTCTGTTGCCCAGGCTGGAGTGCAGTGGCTCAATCTTGGCTCACTGCAGCCTCTGCCTCCTGGGTTCAAGCAATTCTCCCACCTCAGCCTCCCAAGTATCTTGGATTACAGGGGCGCACCACCACACCCAGCTAATTTTTGCATTTTTAATAGAGACGGGATTTCACCCTGTTGGCCAGGCTGGTCTCGAACTGCTGACCTCATGTGATCCACCTGCCTCGGCCTCCCAAAGTGCTGGGATTACAGGTGTGAGCCACCGCACCAGGCCTGATGTGTAATTATTTTGAAATGTTTCTTCCTTTAATCTGTCCTAGCTAAAGGGAGAGCTAATAGATCATAGACAGAGGTCTGAAGTAAGCAACATTGTGTTGGAGAAATACTGGCCCAGAACTCAGATCTGAGATCTAGTCCTGCCTGAGGCCTGAGCAAGTAACTTGGAGTTTCTGGGTCTCCATCGTAAATGTGAAGAGCAAGAGTAGAGTTTGAATTTGTACGCTCTTTTCACCTCTGTGTTGTGGTGGAGAGTTTGTTTTCGTGAAAAAGGAAAAAGTAAAGGGAAAACATTAAGCTGAATTTGTAAATGTGATACGTGATCTAGCTATATATTAAAAAGAACTACACATATCTTTTAAGCTCATGTAGAAATTTATCCTGATGGCTTGAAATAGCTACTGAATTAGGTACCATGTGTATATTTGTTATTCTTTGCCTTTTAAATAATCTTCCCTTGCCTTTTAAATAATCTTCCCCTCTCCCCTATAGGGAAGATGAGTGGCTCTCGGCAGCAATTGACTGTTTAGAATACCTTCCAGACCAAATGGTGGTGGAAATAAGCAGAAGCTTTCCTGAGCAACCAGACCGAACAGACTTAGTGAAAGAACTTCTGTTTGATGCCATTGGCAGATATTACAGTAGTAGGGAACCTCTGTTAAATCACTTATCTGACGTTCATAATGGAATTGCAGAACTCTTAGGTAAGTAAGATCTAACTGGATACTAGCATTTATCTTTTGGAGGAAACAAGAAAAAGTTAGTTCTCAAACTGAACCAGAATAGTACTACTACAAGCTGGGAGTGGATCTGGATTAATTCATGGAAAGTATGTTTGTTCAAAAACTTCTAGGGGTCATTTGGAAAGAGGCTTTAACAAGCTCTAAAGTTATGCAGAAACTTCTGGTTACCCAGGAGTATAATGCTGCTCTCATTCACCGGAAGCTTAAGCATAAAGCAGCAATTCTCTTTTTTTAGAAGAGTTATCAGCACCACCATTACTCCCCTTTCAATCTCTTCAAAATGGCAGACTCTCTGCTTTGTCTCTCTACCAATGAGCCACATAATTTGTTGGAAACAAATTGGAGGTTTCAGAAAATTTCTCTTATTTTTCTCAAGGAGAGTTGGATACATGAGTATTGTACACATGGTATACTCCCAAATGTACTGAATTAATGAAAAACAGAATGGGATTTTATCCACAAAGCTAAGAGTTAGATTTAATGCCAGAAGATATTATATGACAGGGACTTAGGCTGTTAGTTGCCAATTTGAGAACAAGCTGCCTTTATGGTATTCACCATTCATTGTTAATTCCTAGTCTTGCTTTTGCTTTTGGAAATAATTTTGAATAAGTGCACTTTTTAACTCAAACTGTAACTTGAGTTTTGTTCCCTTTAATATAGTCATATTTGGTCAATTAAAAGCAGTTTTTTTCTTTTGGCTAAAGTGAATGGGAAGACGGAAATAGCTTTAGAAGCTACCCAGCTCCTTCTAAAGCTTTTAGATTTCCAAAATAGAGAAGAATTTAGAAGACTACTGTATTTCATGGCTGTTGCAGCAAATCCTTCTGAGTTTAAATTACAGAAAGAAGTAAGTCTTTTGTTTAACTGTTAGTTGTATTTAATATCCTTAATACTTACAGGTTAAGTATTAGATTATTCCATCTTCAGCATCAAGTATGCTGAAATGTATAATAGCTATTAATATTTAATATTCCCTTTTATATTAAACTTGTCTCTTAAATATATACTATTGGATATATTTGTTTTATTTTTATAGAGTGACAACCGAATGGTTGTGAAAAGGATATTCTCAAAAGCTATTGTTGACAATAAAAATTTATCCAAAGGCAAAACAGATCTTCTGGTACTCTTTTTAATGGATCATCAGAAAGATGTTTTTAAGGTAAAATTGTGAAAGTAGTTAAATTGAGCTTATGTAATAGATCACTAGATTAAAATGCATTTGAATAATGTCCCATGTCCCTTCTTTTTCTTAAGATTCCTGGAACTCTACATAAAATTGTAAGTGTTAAGCTTATGGCCATACAGAACGGAAGAGATCCAAATAGAGATGCAGGTAATCTGAGAAATATTATTTTCATGATCTTCCAAAGACAAATTTCAGGTGTTTTTTGAAAATGTTTTGCTATAAGTAGTTGGACTTTAATTTCAACCAAATTTAAAACATTCTCCTCAGAGTTATTCATACAAAGCAACTTTACAAGTGTTAGAAAGTCAGCAGTGCTTACCATCTTCAGTGCATATTACAAAATGGGGAAGAAAAACATAAAGACAAGAATATTGCTTGATTTTTCTGCTTAAATATGAGGAATTGAGTCATTAACTGAACTTTTTACTTTTAAACTTTAAGGATATATTTATTGCCAGAGAATTGATCAACGTGACTATTCCAACAATACAGAGAAGACAACCAAAGATGAGCTGTTGAATTTACTAAAAACTCTTGATGAGGATTCAAAACTTTCTGCCAAAGAGAAGAAAAAATTGCTAGGTCAATTCTATAAGTGTCACCCAGACATCTTTATTGAGCATTTTGGAGACTGAGTTTTTAATATCTGTATATAAGTTGTGTATTTTAAGAATAAATTATGTATCCTAAATATCCAATCACATTTGTAAGCGTGGAAGCTCTAAATTTGAAACTGTACTTAATAAAAATTTTTTTGTATAACTTCGTGTGTCAGAAGCTATTAGTCATATGGTGTATTGCTGTTAAGTACTTGAGTTGATTTATAATTACTGTGCTCAGTGCTTTATAGAACATAATAGAGATTTAGATGACATTGCAGTATTTATATAAGAAAGCATTAAACAGTAAAGAAAACGATAATTACATGTTAATAGGAGTGGGGTTTGTGTTTTGAAAGGTACTCCTTAAAGATGCAAGATAGAAACTTAGGTTATAATAAAAAGAATTTGCTGATTACCTTAAGTTGTAGACAAATCAGAAATCAGACTGTCCTAATGCTTCCGAAAACAAAATTTTTTAAGCTTATTGTGGAAAATTTCAAACATACATGAAAGTGGAGACAATAGAGTAATGAACTCTTGCTTGTACCCATTAACTAATACTGCCAACTGCCAACTCATGGCCAATCTTGTTTAATCTGTACCCTCCCTCACTCCTCACTCATCCCAGCAAATTTCAGATATCATATCATTTCCTCTATAAAATGTCAGTGTGTATGACAAAAAGGAACGTTAAAAAAAAAACATGAAACCATTGTCCTTCACATAAACCTACAACTCCTTAATATCAATCAGGTTTGCAGTTAGTGTTGAAATCTTATGATGATCTCAAATGATTTTGACAGTTTATTCAAATGGAGATTCAAATAATGTCCATAAATTGCAATTGGTTAGTGTGTTTAAGTCTCTCTTTAAAAATCTGTAAGTTCTGTAATCCCAGCACTTTGGGAGGCCGAGGCAGGCGGATCACGAGGTCAGGAGATCGAGACCATCCTGGCTAACACGGTGAAACCCCCTCTTTACAAAAAAAAAATACAAAAAAATTAGCTGGGCGTGGTGGCAGGCACTTGTAGTCCCAGCTACTCGGGAGGCTGAGGCAGGAGAATGGCGTGAACCCGGGAGGCGGAGCTTGCAGTGAGCTGAGATGCACCACTGCACTCCAGCCTGGGCGACAGAGTGAGACTCTGTCTCACAAAAAAAAAAAAAAAAAAAAAAAAAAAAAATGTAAGTTTGGCCAGGCACGGTGGCTCATGCCTGTAATCCCTGCACTTTGGGAGGCTGAGATGGGCGGATCACGAGGTCAAGAGATCGAGACCATCCTGGCCAACATGGTGAAACCCCGTCTCTACTAAAAATACAAAAATTAGTTGGGCGTGGGGGCACGCGCCTGTAGTCCCAGCTACTCAGGAGGCTGAGGCAGGAGAATCCCTTGAACCCAGGAGACAGAAGTTGCAGTGAGCCGAGATCGCACCACTGTACTCCAGCCTGGTGACAGAGCAAGACTCTGTCTCAAAAAAATAAATAAATAAATAAAAATGTAAGTACTCCTTTCTCCTTCCACCTTTCCCCTCTCTGTCTTTTTGTCTGTGTGTATGTCTCTATTGTTAAATAAACTTGGTCAGTTGTTCTTGAGTTTTCCTCAGTCTGAATTTTTCTGATGACAAGTCTGGGCTGTCCTTTATCATGTTCCTTTGTATCCTATAGTTCTTGTAAATTGGGCATTAGAGCTAAAGTTTTTAATACCTTTTTAACCAAGTTAATCATTATTTGGAATGAGTGCACTGTGAAGATACACAGGTGACCTTTAAACACCACAAGTTTGAACTGCGCAGGTCCACTTGGATTTTTAAAAACAGAAGTTATACAAAGTGTGCTTGCCTCTCCTGCCTCTCCTTCCTCTCCTTCCACCTCCTCCACCTCTGTGACCCCTGAGACAGCAAGACCAGCCTTCCTCCTCCTCTACCTATTCAATGTGAAGATGACAAGGATGAAGACCTTTAGGATGATCCACTTTCACTTTGAATAGTATATATTCTCTTCCTTGTGACTTTCTTAATAACATTTTCTTTTCTCTAGCTTACTTTAAGGTAGGAATACAGTATTTAGAGCAGACACGGTGGCTCATAACGGTAATCCCAGTACTTTGGGAAGCCGAGATGATTGCTTGAGACCAGCCTGGGCAATGTAGAGAGACCCTGTCTCTAACACCCCACCCCAAAAAAAGAAATTAGCTAGGCATGGTAGCATGCACCTGTGGTACAGCTCCTTGGGAGGTTGAGGTGGGAGGATCCATTTGAGCCTGGGAAGTTGAAACAGCATTGAACCATGATTATGCCACTGCACTTCAGCCTGGGTGAAAGAGCGAGATCATGTCTCAAACAAAAAACAAAAAACAAAAAACACTCTATATATAATGTAACATACGAAATGTGTGTTAATTGACTGTTATTGGTAAGACTTCTGGCCAACAGTAGTCTAATAAGTTTTAGAGGAGTCAAAACTTATATGTAGAATTTTGATTGTGCAGGGGGATTGATGCCCATAACCCCCACATTGTTCAAGGGTCAACTGTATTTGATAAATAGACAAGCAATATAATACAGTTTGAAGTTGTTCATCCTAATAGTAATAGAGCCAAAAGATTAAATACTGAATTTTGTCTTTTAACTGACTTTAATGAGAGGTAGGGAAAACTGAAATGATGCACCAATATGTTAGTATGTCAGTAATGTTTTTTTTTCCCCCTTAGGTATAACTGATAGTGCCTAGTCTAAGTAGATAAAGGTTGAGGACTAATATCTATAAAATACCTATGATACCAGTTCTAATAACTCAGGGAATAACTCCGTTTTTTTGGATAGGTAAGAATGGAAGGGCTGGGCGTGGTGGCTCACGCCTGTAATCCCAGCACTTTCAGAGGCCGAGGCAGGTGGATCATCTGAGGTCAGGAATTTGAGACCAGCCTGACCAACATGGTGAAAACCCGTCTCTGCCAAAAATACAAAAATTAGCTGGGCGTGGTAGCGGGTGCCTGTAATCCCAGCTACTCGGGAGGCTGAGGCAGGAGAATCTCTTGAACCTAGGAGGCGGAGGTTGCAGTGAGCCGAGATCGTGCCATTGCACTCCAGCCTGGGCGACAAAACAAGACTCCCTCTTAAAAAAAAAAAAAAAAAAAAAAAAAAAAAAAAAAAAAAAAGGGGAAGGCAGCTCTCTTTACAGTGAGGGGAAAAAGAAGATAAGTTTATGATTTAAATGTGAGAGGAAGTTTTCAGAAACAAGCTACTGGAACTGTGGTGAGATCAGCACGGTGGGCAGAGCAACCGTGTGCTATCTGATTTGTAACCTTTATTTTGCACATAATTGAATAGCATATTTATTTGACAACCTTCAGGGGAAGGCAGAACTGCTTAGTTACATTCATGCTTCTAGGAGAAGCAACATTCTAATAGAATGATAATTTCAGGGAAAATATACTAGTAAAATCAATTTACCTTAGGCCTTATAAGGAGGATAAAAAGAAAAATCGATCATGTTTACTGCAACCATTGTCAAGGTTTTAAACTACAGGTCCAGTGCTACCTTGAAAGCCTTGGGCAACCCTCCTCAGTCACTAGAACTGTTGATTATCTTTTGCTGTGTGCTCTCATTCATTCACCCATGACGCCTTCTTGGGGACCCATTCCCACATAGACACCTAATGCCTAGTTGACCGTAAGTCTTGCCATCATCCTAGCAGAGTAGACCAAGGTTGAGCACCTGATCCAAGGGCAGCTTCCCTGGAGGCTAATGAGACTAACTTTGTTCAAAAATCAGTTTGGCCAATCAAATTCTATATAGGTAAATTTAAATTATGAGGCGCGTCAATTAAGAAAGTACAGAAACCAGCCTGTAGCATAAAGAGTGGAATGGACTACAGCAAGCAGAGATGTGACAAGAGGGATCCTGTGTGTACAGGAGCAGTAGCCGACCTCTAGAGTGGCTGCCACCTTTCTCCCTCCAAGTCCTATGTCCTTGCAGTGAACTCCCTTTACCTTAACGTAATTTGAATTTCCAGTCCTTGCAGCCAAAGATCAAAATGGAATGTGTCTATATGTATTTTTTGAATATTGAAACAGTACAAAACATTAAAAGATTACAAGTGAAATATCCCAAATTAAATCAGTGATTTTGGTATTGTTGCAGTATCCTCTCCAGGTGGAACTTGAGTATATTCATTCACTTGCTCCTAACCAAGTGAAAATTGGTTATATTAACCTTTTTTTTTTTTTTTGAGATGTAGTCTCGCTGTCTCCCAGGCTGGAGTGCAGGGGTGCGATCTCCGCTCACTGCCACCTCTGCCTCCTGGGTTCAAGGGATTCTCCTGCCTCAGCCTCTCCAGTAGCTGGGATTACAAGCGCCTGCCACCATGCCCAGCTAATTTTTGTATTTTTAGTAGAGACGGGGTTTTGCCATGTTGGCCAGGCTGGTCTTGAACCCCTGACCTCAGGTGATCCGCCCGCCTCGACCTCCCAAAGAGCTAGGATTACAGGCGTGAGCCATTGCACCCAGCCATATTAATCTTTTAAGGAAGGTTCTAGCCTGCTTCCCCAGGGAGCTTTTAAAACTTGTCTGGCATCACCCTCCCCGGAGTTTTGGATGATACTTTTCCAACCCCTGCCCCTGAGATTCCAAGTTGTATTTGTAGTCAGGGCTGAAAAACACTAGAGACTTAATGGTACGAGTTTAGACTCAGAAGAACTGCATGTTTTCTTTGCAGATCTTTTTTTTTTTTTTCAGACGGAATCTCACTCTGTCACCCAGGCTGCAGTGCAGTGGTGCGATCCCGGCTCACTGCAACCTCTGCTTCCCGGATTCAAGCAATTCTCCTGCCTCAGCCTCCCAAGTAGCTGGGATTACAGGCATATGCCACCATGCCCGGCTAATTTTTTTGTATTTTTAGTAGAAACGAGGTTTCACCATATTGGCCAGGCTGGTCTCGAACTCCTGACCTTGTGATCCACCCACCTCCGACCTCCCAAAGAGCTAGGATTACAGGTGTGAGCCACCGCGCCCAGCCATTCTTTGTAGATCTTAACAGTTCCATTTAGTTGAGTATCTTAAGGGTTTTTGGTGTTTTTTCCTCCAAAAAGTGAATCTTCACCAGAGAACTTCTGTTTTTGTCTTTTTTTTTTTTTTTTTAAAGCAAAGACTTTAATGTGCAAGTTAGTAAATGGTTTGAGGGTCTGGTATTGCACTCGGCCTTCAATACGTTAGCAATAACTACCCACATGTGATCTATTTAGAAGCAGTGTTTGAAAGCACCAATGTCACCCCATCTGCTTTTTTGTAGTTTTTTTTTGTTTGTTTGTTTTTGAGACAGAGTCTCGGTCTGTCTCCAGGCCGCAGTGCAGTGGCGCGATCTCGCCTCACTGCAACCTCCGCCTCCCAGATTCAAGCGATTCTCCTGCCTCAGCCTCCCGAGTAGCTGGGACTACAGGCGCGCGCCACCACACCCAGCTAATTTTCGTATTTTTAGTAAAGACGAGGTTTCACCATGTTGGCCAGGATGGTCTCGATCTCTTGACCTCGTGATCCGCCCGCCTCGGCCTCTCAAAGTGCTGGGATTACAGGCGTGAGCTGCTGCGCCCGGACTAACTTTTTTTTAAAGCTGAGGAAATGAGAGAAGGGGAATAAACTTTGTGTAGCTACAAACAGGATGGCAAAATTAAATTTCAAAGAACGGGCGGGGAAGGTTTCAGATGCAATGGCTTCTTATTCCTTCTTTTGACTGACCCGCGCCTTCTCCGCCTCCCTTTCTCCTCGCGTCACCCGCACCAGCGGCTGGGATGCGGCGCGCGTTCCGTCTTTCCGTATGGAAACATGGCGCCTAGGGGCGGGCCATCCCCAGCTTCGAGCCACCGCCAGCTGAGACTCATCGGCGGGCACTCGGCCATGCCTCTCGCGTTTCCGTACGAAAACATGGCGCCTCACTGCGTGCGGCGGGCGACTCTTGGCTGGGAGCCACTGGCCACGGAGCCCCCTGAGCGGTCATCGGCCATGTTTTCCACCTCTCCCTGAGGAAACACGGCGCCGCCCAGCTGCGAGTCACCGCTTACTGAACCCCTTCGGCAAGCAGGGGAAAGACCCTCCCGCCTTTCCGTACGAAGACATGGCGCTGCCCTATATTGGGCTGGCGCCTCCCGGCCAAGAGCAGTCTCCTCCTTCCTGATGCTGAGAAGCGGCCGCTCTGACCGCTGCCCACCCGAGTCGGGCTGGGAGGACCGCCCGCCGCGTGGCGAGGGATGCGGCCTCGGAGGGGCAGAGGCTGAACCGCCCCTGCCTGCCGCGCATCCCTCCGGCTTCCGCCGCGGCGCCAGCCCGCGCCTGATTCGCGGCGGGAGCGGCAGGAGGGAGAACGCCGACTCCGTGGCAGGTGAGAGCGGGAGCTGGGGCGGAGGCTGGCGGGGCCCGTCCGGGAGGCGCGCGGTCCAAGTCGCAGGCATCTCTTCGCCTCTTCCCGTCGGATCCCATCCCGGGATGTCGGGGGCAGGCGAGGAAGAGGCGGGGTCCGCGGGCGGGTGGAGCTCACCCCTCGAGGCTGTCCTCTCGGCGCGCCCGCGTCCTCCCCTACTCCCGGCCCTGCCACTCCCTCGCTGGCCTGAACAGCTGTTTACAACGGAATCCGGACGCCGGGCGCGAGTGGAGCTCAGTGCCAGAGGAGGGGATTCCCGGCGCCGGGGGACAGAGCCCCTTTTTTCTTTTGCCGAAAGACCCTTTCTGCTGGGGAGCCTCTTGTGTCCAGCCTAGGCCCGCGTGCAGCGCCGACGGATGACCGTCTTCTTGGCAAGTGCGAGGATCCTCCTCCCCTCGGCTCTCTTTTTAGACACAGTGGGGGTTGAATGGATGCGCGCGATATAAGCAAATTAAATGGTTCGTGGCCGCATCCTAGAGCCCTTTAATTAGAGTTACCATTTGTAGAAGGCCTGCCGTGCACAATCCCTCGTTTCATCTCCCCCCAAACCGAGCAGGTAGGTAGCTGTGTTTTACAGAGGAGGACACTGAAGTTACACAGCTAGTAAAGAGCCAGAATTGGGGCCCAGGTATGTCTGAAACCAACGCCCAGCCTCCCAGATACAGTGACATCACAGAGATGACGTAGGGATTCATCTCTATCAACAGATACTTGTGGGTGTCTATTTGGGGGATATACAGATGGAGCATAAGTGGGGAATATGACTGGTCCTGGCTCTTAAGAAGTTCGAAATCTAGGTGGGGAATTTTAAAATAAAAACTAGCACTTTTACCATCTGGCCCCAACGCATCTTTCCATCATCTCTAGCCACTTCCTTTTCTCATTTTCTTGTGCCTTGGCTTCTGCCCTCTGAGTGAAATGCCCTCCTTTTCACCTCCTCTCCCCCTCCTCTCCCCCTCCAGACATGTTTTAACTAGGTGAAATCCTACTCCTTTTAAAGATCAGTTCAAATGTCATCTTTTCTGGGAAGGTTTTCTCAATCTCCTCCCAGGCAGAGTTAGTTTCTTCCTCTGCTATATTCCCTGGGCAATTTCATAATGCCACTTAAGTTTCATTATGGCTCCTTGTAAGCCTGTCTGCCTCCCCCTCTAGACTATGTATTTGCATCTTTCTATTTAAATAAGCACGCTTTGAATTGAATTTAAGGCAGTGACAAATGCCAAATGTCAACTAGCCAGCCCTGCAGGAGTTGAGAAAGGTGCAATCACTGGTGAGGTCCGGGAAGTGTCCTGGGAAGAGACAGGACTTGAACTCAATCTTAAGGATGGGGTTAGTTTACTAAGCTGAGCATTAGAGACCTAGAAATCCTCCCTTTCCTCCTCACTGCACAGAATGAATTACTTCATCCCTCCTGGGCTCCTTCTCAGCATGTGAAGATAATAAAATTAGCAGCGTTTTGTTTGTCGTTTCTCACAGAATATGCTGGTAATGTTATCCTTTGGATCTTGGAGCATTTCCTGACCCTAATAGGATTTAGGACACAGAGGAGATGGGTGTCTCCAGTGGGGTGTTGGAAGCTAAGATGGGTCTCGAAAGGGAAAATACATGAAAACAACTTTCATATTAATACAGGCCTGGGCCAGGTGCAGTGGCTCACGCCTATAATCCCAGCACTTTGGGAGGCTGAGGCGGGCGGATCACTAGAGGTCAGGAGTTCGAGACAAGCCTGGCCAACATAGTGAAACCCCATCTCTACTAAAAATACGAAAATTAGCGAGGCGTGGTGGTGGGCGCCTATAATCCCAGCTACTGGGGAGGCTGAGGCAGAAGAATCCCTTGAACCTGGGAGGCAGAGGTTGCAGTGAGCTGAGCCGAGATGGTGCCACTGCACTTCAATCTGGGGAACAGTGCAAGAGTCTGTCCCCAAAAAAAAAACAAAAAAACAGGCCTGAATATTTCAATCCCAGTAACTTCATTCTATTTAATGGAGTTCTCTGAAATTTCACATAATTCTATCAGGTGATTCTTCACCTCTCTCTAATATGCAGAACACAGTCTGCCAAACTCCCTAAATCAGTTGACATTTCTTTTGATCACCTGATTACCTTCCATGTGTGTAAGAAAGTCTAATTAGTGTTTATGAAAATGTTTTGTGATCTTCAAGTGCTGATGTTACAAATGTTAATTATTTTCAGCAAATGCAGAAACATTGTGTCTTCTCTCCCAGAAACACCCTAGGAAAAGGGAGAGTGGAGGAATTGACTAAAACTTTTACTGTAATTAAAACAGGGTTTTTTTGTTTGTTTGTTTGTTTGTTTAGACAGAGTCTCAGTCTGTTGCCCAGGCTGGAGTGCAGTGGTGCGATCTCGGCTCACTGCAAGCTCTGCCTCCCGGGTTCATGCCATTCTCCTGCTTCAGCCTCCTGAGTATTTGGGACTACAGGCACCGCCACCATGCCAGGCCAATTTTTTAATATTTTTAGTGGAGACGGGGTTTCAGCGTGTTAGCCAGGATGGTCTCGATCTCTTGACCTCATGATCCGCCTGTTTTAGGCCTGTTTTAGGCTGGGCACGGTGGCTCATGCCTGTAATCCCAGCACTTTGGGAGGCCCAGGCAGACCTTTTATTAACTGCTCCAAAGCACAGTGTCAAGTGTTATTGCTATTCTGATCAGCAACTAATAAAAAGCCCACCCAACTGCATACATTATGGTTGTTTGCAGCTTCTTACTCACAATCTTTTTCCTAATTACTGGCAAGAAGGTAATAAAAATATTTGCCCCACACATTCCTCTTAAACATTTCATAAGATTCTGTTTTCTGTAGGGCGCAGTGGCTCATGGCTGTAATCCCAGTACTTTGGGAGACCGAGGCAGGTGGATCACCTGAGGTCAGGAGTTCGAGACCAGCCTGACCAACATGGTGAAACCCCGTCTCTACTAAAAATACAAAATTAGGCCAGGCGCAGTGGCTCACGCCTGTAATCCCAGCACTTTGGGAGGCCAGGGCAGGTGGATCATGAGGTCAGGAGTTCGAAACCAGCCTGGCCAACATGGTGAAGCCCCATCTCTCCTAAAAATACAAAAATCAGCCAGGCATGGTGGTGGGCGCCTATAATCCCAGCTACTCAGAAGGCTGAGGCAGGAGAATCACTTGAAACCGGAAGGTGGAAGTTGCAGTAAACTGAGATCGCACCACTGCATTCCAGCCTGGATGAAAGAGCGAAACTCTGTCTCAAAACAAAACAAAACAAAAATTAGCTGGGCGTGGTGGCACCCACCTGTAATTTCAGCTACTTGGGAGGCTGAGGCAGGAGAATTGCTGAAACCTAGCAGGCGGAGGATGCAGTTAGCTGAGATTGCCCCATTGCACTCCAGCCTGGGCAACAAGAGCAAAACTCCATCTGGAAAAAAAAAAAATTCTAGTTTCTGTCATCTCTGGGTATCTTATTCACATGATAATATCAAGGAATCAACCCTTTAGCCCAGTGTATTCACTTGTAAGCCCAATTAAAAGCATTATTTCCAAGGAGTTTACCTATCTGCTCTTAGGAATGAAAGTAAAGAATTTAAGATTGAATCACTGATTAAAATTGTAGCAGCAGGTAGTTTAGAGTGTGTCTTCTAATAGTTTAAGGCCCTGTATTCTTGAAACATGCTACTTAGGAGTAGGACAAAAATATTCCAACTAACTACTACGTGAGATCCAGAAATCTGATAAATTACAAATGTCATTTTACAAGTATCTGTTTAGTCATTGAAGTAGAATATAGCTGGATAAGATCTTAGCAAGCTCATTTATTCTACAAACGAGAAAACTGAAACCCAAAGAGGTTAAATGATTTGCCCTGAGTCACATTGCTAGTTGGTGACAGAGCTAGAATACTTTTAGTTCTTTTTTTTTGTTTTTTTCTTTCCTAGGAAAGTGAATAAACTTAATTGAGAATGTCTGAAAACCTTGACAAGTCCAATGTAAATGAAGCAGGAAAATCAAAATCCAATGATTCTGAGGAAGGCCTCGAAGATGCTGTGGAAGGTGCTGATGAAGCCTTACAAAAAGCAATAAAGTCAGACTCCTCCAGCCCCCAAAGAGTGCAGAGACCTCACTGTAAGCAAATTTGACTTTGGTTAGATGCAATATTGTCATTGTTTTCAGGTGACGGTTTTATGAGGCCTCCTTGTGCATGTGGCCGTGAGCTAGGTTCTAATAATATAACATTGCCAATGTAGCATTTAGGAATAATAGCAGTTCCTCAGCTGGCAGCCTAGCTACTTGTGGATTTTCAATTGCATGGGAAATTAACAATTTAGAATAATGTCCAGAACGTTCCTGTCTTTCTCCAGCCTCAGTGACACTCCAGTCTCTGAAGTGCTCTGAGAAATAGGAGGGTGGAGTATAAATTGCAGCTTGTATTGAAAGAGTGTTTGAAAAGTCTGAGGCTAATTCCAGCCAGGACTGTGCTTGTGCAGGTTAAAAAAAAATGTGAGTAAGTTCACCACACCCTAATTCTCTGCCTGGGGGCTTAGTTCCCACAAGCTTGAGGGGATTCAGTTTGCTAAATGTGTGTGGTGAAGTCATTTCAGATCCCTGGCAAGGAGCAAGCCTCTTAAATGAAAGGGTGGCAATATCTTCAGGCATTCCCAGTGGTTGCCTCAACTCACGTCTTTTATGAAGAGTACCTTAAGCATTTTGAAGTGAGTCCAAAAATGCAAGTTTTTAAGAGGGAATGTCATAGTCTAAGAATGTCGGTATTGATGTTATCCCTTTAAATTGTAGATGATCAGTAGTTGTACGTATTTGGAAAAAGTACAGACATTTTTGGGTTTTGGGGTGTGTTTCTTCTAAAATGATCAAAGCCCTTCCCGGGCAATTTATTAGTCAACATACTATTCTTCTAGCAAACATTAATGGACCCTATTTTATTCTGATTTATTATCACATAGATTTTAATAAATCAACTATTAGGTCAAATTGTGTCCAAGGAAACATGTTGTTGCTAGCACAGTCTATCATGCATTTGTCAGGCCTGACTCCAATATGTGTAGTTAGAAAGCTTCTGTTTTCCTGTCTTTAAAATGAGGAAAATACAATATTTCTTGGGGTAGCAGTAAAGATTAAATGAATTCCTATAAGGCACTTAGAACAGTGCTTCACAGGTAATAAATGCTTAATAAACATTAGTTGTTGTTACTACTATTGCTACTAACATTATGTCATCTATTGCATTTAAAGATGCCAGGATTGGCCAGGCATGGTGGCTCATACCTGTAATACCAGCACTTTGGGCGGCTGAGGCAGGAAGATCACTTGAGTCCAGGAGTTCAAGACCAGCCTAGGCAACATAATGAGACCCCATCTCTACAAAAAATAAAAATTAGCCAGGCATGGTGGTGCATGCCTATAGTCCCAGCTACTTGTGGGGCTAAGGCAGGAGGATCACTTGAGCCTGGGAGGTGGAGGCTGCAGTGAGCCGAGATCACGCCACTGCACTCCCGTCTGGGTGACAAAGTAAGACCCTGTCTCAAAAAAAAAAAAAAAAAATTAGCTGAGCATGCACGTGGTTGTAGTCCCAGCTACTTGGGAGGCGGGGACAGGAGGATCACTTGAGCTGGGGAAGTCAAGGCTGCAGTGAGCCGTGATTGTGTCACCGCACTCCAGCCTGGATGACAGAGTGAGACAAGCCTCTCTCAAAAAAATAAAAATAAAAAAAATAAAGAGGCCAGGATTGATTGCTGTAATGTAGATGTATATGGCTAACATGATAGCTTTACAACCTATAGTTTCTGCTAAAGAAGAACTTTTGGTTTAGGTCTTCAGTCACCCTTTATTGGTTGGTTGGTTGTTGGGATGGCCAGACCCAACGTGGAGGTGACGAAGTCCAGTGGAGTCAAAAGAATGAAAAAGACAAGTTTAAGAGTGCATAAAGTGGGTCCGGGGGCCAATGCTAGTATGGAGGCTGCGAAGGCCCCGAGCTCTGGAAGCCTGCACTATTCATTGGTGATGAAACAAAGAAGCAGGTGGTGAGGATGTGGGGGTTGAAAGAAAGCAGTGTATCAAGCACATGATCTACAGCTGTGACGGTTTAGCATTTTCTTTGCAGCATATGGAACATGTTCTGCTACTTGAGATAATGGGAAACATGTTCTAGTTTAAGATACAATAGATCTATGAGCCTAGGAGTGCTAGAAGCAAGGAGCCAGCAAGTCTAGACACATTCCAGAGGCCACGCCCTGAGCCCTGGATTCCATTCAAGCCACGAAGGGTTTTATGCCCTGGGCTTAGATTATGGTGCTGCAGGGCAGCCTTCTGCCCTTTAGCACAGAGCTTGGTGTTCCCAAGGCCATGAGGGGTTTTAGACCCTGGACCCTGGACATGTTCCAAGACTCTTTTACATTAAGTGAGACATGCAAGCCCTGCTTTAGCTTCTCCCAACAGTTGGTTGATTGGTTTTAATTTTTTTAAACAATTTTAACTTTTATAGGTTCAGCCATTCTTTGGTTGATGGCTTCGCCTTTGGCATCTTGTCAGCCTGATGGCATGATTCCAAATTAATGTCAAACCAGTACTAAGCTACATTATCTGAAATTGTGTGTAGTTATGCCCTTAAGGCAAGAATACTTATCCTGGGACCTATGATCAAGATTTAGGGGATCTAGTAATAACCAAAAAAGTATATCAACATTTGTTTGTATATGCATGTTTTTAGGAATAAGGTCGTGGAAGCTTTCATTAAGTTCTCTTAGTAGTCTGTACCAAAATAAGGTTTAAAATCAATGCCCTAAGGTATTCCTTTTGGCTGCCTTCCTATTTCTCCTGTAGTGCTAGGTAGGTACAGGGCTATAAACCCAAAAGATAAAGCTAAGACCTCATTATCTGGGCATCAGGTAAGGAAGCATTATTGAACACATAGAGCATAAATAAGGATTTACAAAATATGGAATTAACAGTTTACAGACATTTCCCCCAAACTCTGTAAATTTGTAGCTACTGAGTTTAAAGTAACTCTAAAATCATATTTGGAATTCTACAAATTAAAACGTAAGTAGCAAAAAGAGAACATTTATTGTTTTAAATTATAACACAGAGTAATACTTTAAGAGTGGAGTTGCTAGGCCAGGCGCATTGGCTCATGCCTATAAGCACTTTGGGAGGCTGAGGCAGGTGAATCACCTGAGGTGAGGTCAGGAGTTCGAGACCAACCTGGCCAACATGGTGAAACACTGTTTCTACTAAAAATACAAAAATTAGCCGGGAGTGGTGGTGTGTGCCTGTAATTGGGAGGCTGAGGCAAGAGAATCACTTGAACCTGGGAAGCAGAGGTTGCAGTGAACCGAGATTGTGCCATTGCACTCCAGCCTAGGGGACAAGAGCGAAACTTCATCTCAAGAAAAAAAAAAAAAGAGTAGAATTCTGATGTAACCGATGCAGAATATTGAAAAAGGAAAAATGGCTGGCTTGTAAAAAATTTATTGGTACTGATTTGAGGTGGTGATTTGATTGTAAAAGATTATCTGTTCTTTAAACAGAGTAAGGATCAGTCAACTGTAACTTAACAATGTTTTCTCTAAAATCTTCTACTACTTATACTTTAATGCTCTTCTCACAAAATACCCTCTGTTCTAACGTTTAATCACCTAGTTGACCAGTAAAAGATGCTATATTCAGATGACAAACATCAATTGTTATTCCAGTTAATATCTCCCACTTAGGACCTTTGTTTATTGGATCAGGTCCTTGTGAATTTAATTAGTAGATCCCAGTCATCTTTAGATGAATAGATGACACGAGAACTTACATTTCTAAAGCTCATGACTAGACTTTGAATTATGGTGTCTCTGTATTCAGTCAGTCAAATATTTATTGAGTGCATACTGTATGTCAGGGATCCAGCAGTGAACCAGGCACATATTGTCTCTGTCCTCATGGAGCTTGCAGGCTAGCGACCAGGAAGACAAATTAACAAGCAGTTTCCAACAACATAATAAGTACTATGGGTAATCTGTACCCTGGTTTTACTGTGCTCATTCTATAGTAGCTGTTTGGGTGACAGTTGCAATCTTGCCCTCCATAAATGTCCGTCCACTTATGTAACTAACAGCATCTTTTCAGAGTGTATAGGCATCTCAGGACACCTTAGTAAAGATAGAGAGTACAACCATTCTAAATTAGAACTTCATTTTATTTTGGAATCTGTCTGCCAGCCTCTCTAAAGTCATGTTTAACCTAATATGGTTTTCAGTTTCTCTAACAGGGCATCAGTGCGCAAATGCTGTAACAAAATAACAAAATTTAGCAACAACTTTAGCTTTGTATCACGTAAGATAAACTCCAGGGTAAGTTACATGTATCTTTACATTTTTTTTTTTTAAGACCGGATCACTCTATGTTGCCCAGGCTGGCCTTGAACTCCTGGGCTCAAGTGATTCACCCACCTCAACCTCCCTAGTAGCTGAGACTACAAGTGTGCACCACCATGTCTGAGTTGACCTTACCATTTTTCATGGCTCTTATTACAACCCAGGTTCTCTTAACAAATTGAGGTGAAGACGTGTTGTCCACCAAATTGCATCTTTATGCAATTTTATGCAATCCTTACCAAGTTTTCATTTATGAAATTGGTAAATTTGAGAACTCTCACAAAACAAAATCCCCACAACCCTATAATTTGTATGCAGTGAATAATTCCTCTGTATGTACATCGGTAACATGTCCTGATCATATCTTAGAACTGTAGCTTTTATCTATCATGATCAGATACCTGTCATTGATAAGTTTGATTTTAAGTAGTCTCTTAACTTGGACAGTTCCTGAAAATTTTCTTCTTCCTAATGGTGAGGTTCTTAGTACTTGGTGCAAGCTGTTTTTTTCCAAGTATGCCCAAAACACTGAGAATGCACTTGTTTAAAATTCGGAGGATTCTTATATTTCATAGCACACCCTTAAGTCTCTTCTTTTTGCATATGGAGAAACACTGACCCTGCAAGATTTAAGTGACTTGTTCAAGGCCGTACTCAACAGAGTCCAGAGGAAGTGAAATTCCTTCCTGATTTGCTCCAGCCACTGTGTTTCATGACTAGGCAGCATAGTAACGGTGCCTATTATTACCCAGATGACTAAAATTATTGGGAAATAACAAATCCGGCCAGGCGCGGTGGCTCATGCCTATAATCCCAGCACTTTGGGAGGCCAAGGCAGGTGGATCATGAGGTCAAGAGATCAAGACCATCCTGGCCAACATGGTGAAACCCTGTCTCTACTAAAAATACATAAATTAGCTGGGTGTGGTGGCACACGCCTGTAGTCCCAGCTACTTGGGAGGCTGAGGCAGGAGAATCACTTGAACCCGGGAGGCGGAGGTTGCAGTGAGCCGAGATCGCGCCACTGCACTCCAGCCTCGTGACAGAGCAAGACTCCGTCTCAAAAAAAAAAAAAAAAAAATTCACCCAGAGGACTTGATGTGATGTATTTCTGTTGTTTTCATAAATTTCAGATGGTAAGACATTGATTATTTTTGAAGGGGTGGCCTGCCCCTCCACAACCTGTGGGTGTTTCTCGTCATGTGGGACGAGAGACTGAGAAAAGAAATAAGACACAGAGACAAAGTATAGAGAAAGAAAAGTGGGCCCAGGGGACCTGCACCCTGTCTCTGAGTTCCCTCAGTATTTATTGATCATTATCTCTACCATCTTGGAGAGGGGGTTGTGGCAGGACAATAGTGTAATAGTGGGGAGAGGGTCAGCAGGAAACCTGTGAACAAAGGTCTCTGTGTCATAAATAAGTTTAAGGAAAGGTACTGTGCCTTGATGTGCACGGATACAAACTTCTGGGTGCATTAAAGAGCAGTATTGCCGCTAGCACCTCACCTCCAGCCCTAAGGCAGTTTTCTCCTATCTTAGTAAATAGAACATACAATTGGGTTTTACACCAAGACATTCTATTGCCCAGGGATGAGCAGGAGACAGATGCCTTCCTCTTATCTCAACTGCAAAGAGGCCTTCCTCTTTTACTAATCCTCCTCAGCACAGACCCTTTACAGGTGTTGGGCTGGGGGATGATCAGGTCTTTCCCTTCCCAGGAGGCCATATCTCAGGCTATTGCATGGGGAGAAACCTTGGACAATACCTGGCTTTCCTAGGCAGAGGCCCCTGCTGGAGGGCCTTCCGCAGTGTATTGTGTCCCTGGGTACTTGAGGTTAGAGAATGGTGATGACTTTTAACAAGCATACTGCCTTCAAGCACTTTTTTAACAAAGCACATCCTGCATAGCCCTAAATCCATTAAACCTTGAGTCAACACAGCACAGGTCTCTGCTGTGAGCACAGGGTTGGGACAAGGGTTACAGATTAACAACATCTCAAGGCAGAAGAATTTTTCTTAGTACAGAACAAAATGGAGTCTCTTATGTCTACTTCTTTCTACATAGACACAGTAGCAGTCTGATCTCTCTTTTCCCCACAATTTTTTGCAAAAGCAAGGTTAAAAAACTTGGGAGCCCTAATAATCTCTGAGTTTCTTCTTAAGGGGTAAGACCTTGGTGGAGTTTAATAACACCTGATGCTTGATAATAACACCTGATGCTTGATAATAACACCTGATGCTTGATATTGATGTACCCACAGTGGAAGTTTCATTTTCTGATAACTGATAACAGAAATAATTTAAAAATAAGCATATATTTATACATATGTATATATACAGGAGATCCCTACTGAACTGGGTGTGCACCTATAGTCCCAGCTATTTGGGAGGTTGAGGCCACAGTGAACTGTGATCACCACTCTCCAGTTTGGGCAACAGAATAAGACCCTATTTCAAAAAACAAATAACAAAAAAACCTTTTTATTTTCTTAATAGAGTCTATCATGGAATGTACATTTTAAATTTTGATAAAATCCAAATTATCCATTTTTTATTTTGTAGTTTGAGTTTTTTGTATCCTATCTAAGAAATCTTTGCCTAATCCAAGATCGCAAAGATTTCTATCTGTGATTCTTTTTTTTTTTTAGACAAGGTCTCTATCTGTCACCTATGCTGGAGTGCTGTGGCGGGGTCATGGCTCACTGCAACTTCTGCCTCCTGGGCTTAAGCCATCTTCCCGTCTCAGCCTCCTGAGTAGCTGAGACTACAGGAGCATGCCACCACACCTGGCTAATTGTATTTTTTGTAGAGATGGGGTTTCGCCATGTTGCCCAGGCTGTTCTCAAATTCCTGGCCTCAAGCAATTTTTGCACCTTGGCCTCCCAAAGGGCTGGGATTACAGGCATGAGCCACCATGCCCCGCTCTGCAATCCATTTTGAGTTCATTTTTGTTTATCATTTGAGAGAAGGATCTAGAGTAATTATTATTAATTTTTTTTGAGACGGAGTCTCGCTCTGTCGCCCAGGCTGGAGTGCAGTGGTGCAATCTCAGCTCACTGCAAGCTTGGCCTCCCGGGTTCACGCCATTCTCTTGCCTCAGCCTCCCAAGTAGCTGGGACTACAGACACCTGCCATCACGCCCGGCTAATTTTTTGTATTTTTAGTAGAGATGGGGTTTCACCGTGTTAGCCAGGATGGTCTTGTTCTCCCGACCTTGTGGTCCGCTCGCCTCAGCCTCCCAAAGTGCTGGGATTACAGGCGTGATAGAGTAATTCTTTTACATATAGATACTTAATTGTTGTAGCACCATTTGATTAAAAACAAACAAACAAACAAAACTATCCTTGCTTTTCTTTTTTTGAGACAGAGTATTGCTCTGTCACCCAGACTGGAGGGCAGTGGCACAATCTCAGCTCACTGCAACCTCTGTCTCCTGGGCTTAAATGATTTTTAGTAGAGACAGGATTTCGCTGTGTTGTCCAGGCTGGTCTCGAACTCCTGGCCTCAAGCAGTCCACCTGCTTCAGCCTCCCAAAGTACATGAGCCACCGTGCCCGGCCTATCCTTGTCTGTTGACCACCTATATATATATGTGTGTGTATATTAGTCTATTTCTGGATTTTCTGCCCTGAATTTCTATATATCCTTATGGGAAAAATACACTGTCTTGTTATAGTTTTATAATAAGTCTTGAAATCAGTGTCAGTCCTCTAGCTTTATTTTTCTTTTTCAAAATAGTTTTGGCTTTTCGAGGTCTTTTGTGTTTCCCTATACATTTTAGAATTAGTTTGTCAGTTTCAACAAAAAAGCCTTCTGATTGGGATTTCATTTAACCAATAGATTGATTTGGGGAAAATTGACATCTTAATAATATACCCATAGAGGGGAATAAGAGACACTGGGGTCTACTGGAGAGTGGGAGGAGGGAGAGGATCAAGAAAAATAATGAGTACTAGACTTAATAACCGGGTGACAAAATAATCTCTACAACAAGCCCCCGTGACACGAGATTACCTGTATAACAAACCTGCACATGTACACCTGAACTTAAAAGTTAAAAAAAATTTTTTTAATTGAAAAGATATATTGGGCTTTGATTTTGGATATTTACTATATTTTAGCAATATCAACAAAGCCAGATTTATTTATTCTGTATTCTTATTCATATTCTTTGGAAATGCTGAGAATGTTGTGAGGAAGAATTCTGAGTTTTCCCAACTTCCCCTTGTGACCAAATAAAGTTTTTTACCAGGCAGGATATGACCAGCTCTTCGATTTGGTTCCTTTTTTTTTTTTCTTTTTTTTGGTGCGCAAAAGAAAAAGGAAAGAAAATAACTTTTCACCAATGTAAGAAGATCTTTTAAACCTGGGCAAACCAGTGACATTACTTATCTAATTTTAAGGCCAGATCTTATCACTATCACATAAAATTAATATATTCATCTTCTAGGCCAGTACTTCTCAAACTGTGGTGTTTGGAGCCATCAGCATCAACTGGAGACTTGTTAGAAATACAGATTCTGGGCCGGCTGCTGTGGCTCACACCTGTAATCCCAGCATTTTGGGAGGCTGAGGCAGGCGGATCACTTACTTAAGCTCAGGAGTTCGAGACCAGCCTGGGCAACATGGCGAAACTTGTCTTTAAAAAAATAGAAAAAATAACCAGACATGGTGGCATGTGCCTGTAGTCCTGGCTACTTGGGAGGCTAAGGTGGGAAGATGATTTGAGCCTGAGAGGTTGAGGCTGGGGTGAGCCATGATTGTGCAACTGTACTCCTGTTGGTGACAGAGTAAGACCCTATCTCAAAAAAAAATAGAAAAATAAAAAATGCAGATTCTTTGGCCCTGCTCCAGAGCTGCTAAATCAGAAACCCTGAGAGGTGGGCTCAGCAATCTGTTTTCACAAGTCCTCCCTCTGACTCCATGATAGGCTAAAGTTTGAGAATTGCTATCAGAGACTTTTTTTTTTTTTTTTTTTTGAGACAATCTTCCTCTGTCGCCCAGGCTGGAGTGCAATGGTGTGATCTTCGCTCACTGCAACCTCTACCTCCCAGGTTCAAGCAATCCTTTCGCCTCAGCCTCCCAAGGAGCTGGGATTACAGGCATGCACCACCACGCCCTGCTAATTTTTGTATTTTTAGTAGAGACAAGGTTTCACCATGTTGGCCACGTGGGTCTCCAACTCCTGACCTCAGGTGGTCCACCTGCCTTGATCTCCCAAAGTGCTGGGATTACAGGTGTGAGCCTTGCCTTATCATAGGCTTTTAAGAGTAAGAATTCCCCTTTGTTCCTTGGTTTAGAACCTTCTTTCTGAATGATCAGTCTCAAGCTTTATCAAAAGAGAAGTATGGACACAAATTTTGAGGCCGTTGCAGCAGTCGATACAGAAGTAAAATCTACAGGACTTGGATAACAGAGCAGGGGAAAGAGAGAAATCAGAGATGACTCTTTTTCAAAGTTTTTGATTCACTGGATCAGCATTCTAGAAAATTCTTGTGTCACACATCTTTTGATCTGTCCATTGACCACTGCAGAGCTATCATATTCTGTCACAGTATCCTGTACAAGATAGTGGTTTTAGCATTGTTTAAACAGCACCATCGGCACCCTAAAGGACTTGATGGTATTTTAATTTTTTACAACTTTTTATTTTTATTTTTTTGAGACAGAGTCTTGCTCTGTTACCCAGGCTTGAGTGCAGTGACATGATCATAGCTCACTGCAGGTTCAAGCGATCCTCCAGCCTCAACCTCCTGAGTAGCTGGGACTACAGGCATGCACCACCATGCCCGGTTAGTTTTTACATTTTTCTGTAGAGACAAGATCTCACTATGGTGCCCAGGCTGGTCTCCAACCCCTGGCCTCAAATGATCTCTCGCCTCGGCCTCCCAAAGTGCTAGCATTACAGGTGTGAACCACTGTGCCTAGCCTTGATGCTATTTTAATTTGGGGAGATTCATTTGTGGCAGTGTTAGTGGTAGTGCAAAAGTAAACTGCTAATGGGAGCAAAAGAGAAGATCTTAAATCTGGTGTCTTCTTTTTTTTTTTTTTCTTTTAGGGTAGACAGGAGGCAGAAAGACTAGAAAATAAACCCTCAGCTTATGGGACAGATGATCATCTGTAACTTAAGTTTTCCTAGGTTTCAGTTTACTGTAATTATTTTCCTTTGACCAGTCTTAGTAAAAACCAGATGTTTTGAGTATTAATAAATGATCTCTGCTTTTAGGATTCAAGGGTAAAAAATGAATATGAAGTAACATTCTGTTGCTGTTTGAAAATGCCAGAACAAACATTTTAATAGACGCAATAACTGAAATTATTGTCTGGTACCAGAACCACTGTTTTCTTATTTTAGTAGAAATTCAGATCCAGGGAAGCAAATCTCTTACAGTGAGTTTCTGTTACAGCTAGTCCTCCTCGCTTTGTGACAGTAGAAGAACTTCTAGAGACAGCGAGAGGTGTCACCAACATGGCTCTAGCCCATGAAATTGTAGTAAATGGAGACTTTCAGATTAAACCAGTTGAATTACCAGAAAACAGGTAAGGTGGTTGCTAAATTATCTTGCTTAGTAGAACACTGTCATTTCCCAGTTTTGAAAATGTTTCCTTCAGTTGATACCAATATATTCAAACGTATTTTTCCTTTTGTACATTATTGCTAAAAAATATTCCTGAACAAGGAACAACCTAAAAATCAAATAAAAGCTCTAAAAATCTTTTGTGAAAGTCTGCCTACTCAGTAGGATCTAGCTGCCTCATCTTGTGTTTTCATTGCCTTGTTTCATTCACTTCTTTGAAACTATCACACTGCACTATAGTTGTTGGTTTCATCGCAAAGGCGAAGACTGTGGGTTATTCTCTGTGTCCCTAGTGCCTGGCACTTAACCATTTTTTTATTGAATCAAAAACTCTATTGGTTGTAAGGTGCACCTTTTAAAAATGTGCTGTCATAAGAAAGAGGAAACACTGCCCATTATAATTATAAAAATGCCATTGATTTTAAGAAAGATCCAAGTTTCTGAGAGATTAAAATATTGGGGAGGGGGGAGTTTGTTTTAGAATCAAGGAAATATGCGTGCAAGTGCCTTTCTGTCAGCAGCTCACCAAAGTCAGGATTCTGGATGGTGCCTGAGAGTCTCTTAGCCTGTCCTCATGGTTGCAGGATGAATGCTGCAGCTCCAAGCATCCCATAATACATCAGCCTTCCTGGCAAGAGCAAAAAGTTTGGGAGGACTAGGGCTCTCCTTTTGTTGGAGAGGAACATCTTCCCCTGGAGTCATGAAACAGACATCTGCTAATATTTTGTTAATCAGAATTTAGTCACATGCTACCCTTGCTATAAGTGAACCTGGAGAGCTTAAGTTGGCTAAAAGGGAATGAACTGCTGTGATGGGCTTATTAGATTAGTCATGATTTATTGTCACAGGCAGAGTATATTGTTGCCCTGAAAAACACTGGGATTCTGTTAACAAAAGGAGGAGGAATGGCTGCTGTGCTGGCAAGTGTCTCCCACAAGAAGCTTCTAAATATGACTTCACAGAGATTTCTTATATCTGCAAAGATGGTACTTTTTTGCATTTAATAGTGAAGAATTGCTTGTTTTGTGCTCAAGACAGAAAGACATTTTTATTGTTGTTGTTGTTGTTTTTTGAGATGGAGTGTCGCTCTGTCGCCCAAGCTGGAGTACAGTGGCATGATCTTGGCTCACTGCAACCTCTGCTTCCCAGGTTCAAGTGATTCTCTTGACTTAGCCTCCTGAGTAGCTGGGATTATAGGCGTGCGCCACCATGCCCAGCTAATTTTTGTATTTGTAGTAGAGACAGGGTTTCACCTTGTTGGTCAGGCTGGTCTCAAACTCCTGACCTTGTTATCTATCTGCCTCAGCCTCCCAAAGTGCTGGGACTACAGGTGTGAGCCACTGCGCCAGCCATTGTTGTTTTTTGAGACGGAATCTTGCTCAGTTGCCTAGGCTGGAGTGCAGTGGTGCAGTCTCAGCTCACTGCAGCCTCCATCTCCTAGGTTCAAGCAATTCTCCTGCCTCAGCCTCCTAAGTAGCTGGGACTATAAAGCATGCACCACCACACCCAGCTAATTTTTGTATTTTTAGTAGAGATAGTATTTCACCATGTTGGCCAGGCTGGTCTTGAACTCCTGACCTCAGGTGATCCTCCCGCCTTGGCCTCCCAAAATGCTGGGATTACAGGCATGAGCCACCACACCTGGCCAATACTGGTTTTAATGAAATGTTATGTTGTATATATAAGTTGTTACAGTTTGGTACCTAGTTAAGCAGTTGTCCCATGTATCACATGGAAATATGATATTTTTAGGAAATAAAGTCCTTCAACCTACTACATACTGAATTGTTATCTTATTATTATTATTTTATTTTTTTGAGACAGAGTCTCGCTCTGTTGTCCAGGCTGGAGTGTAGTGGCACTATCTCGGCTCACTGCAACCTCTGGCCAGGCTGATCTCGAACTCCTCACCTCAGGTGAACTGCCTGCCTCGGCCTCCAAAAGTGCTGGGATTACAGGCGTAAGTCACAACGCCCAGCCTAAATTGTTATCTTAGACTACCTAATTATAAACATCTTAGGAAACTTACTAGTAACAGGGAACTAAAATTAACAGCTTTGAACTTTCCAATATTCTTATTATATGGCACTGTCATATGCTGTTTCTTGGATTAATGTTGGCTATCCAGTTAGTTGAGAGCGATTCTTTCCAATGAGATGCTTATTGCAAAAAATCACTAACTTTTAAAATAAAGTATGCCCTCAGTTGAAGTATGCCTGGGAAATCTTTCCTTGGTCCAAATCACTGGGATTGATCTTACCCTAAACCCATAGTATTTGTGCTTTTGAAAGTGATTTGAAACTCAAATATTTTGGTTTTTGCCCCCCTCCTTTTTTTTTTCACTGCCCCAGCTTGAAGAAGAGAGTAAAGGAGATTGTACATAAAGCGTTTTGGGATTGCTTGAGTGTGCAGCTAAGTGAAGATCCCCCAGCATATGACCATGCTATCAAACTTGTAGGAGAAATCAAAGAGGTGAGGCAAAGAGTGAATTGTGATGCTTTTCTGGTGTGTTAGGAGTGTTTATTCAACTTCTTGTGTCACCACCAGAAGACTTTAAAGAAATTGAAGGATCAAGAAGTTAAAGTACTTGCCAGAAGGTGGATCAAGAGTGTTTTTGGCTTAATGCCCTTTTTTAAAAAAAAGTTTTAAGCAAACCATGATAACCTGAAGGCATTTAAGACAACAAAGTTATTTCACAAAATCTAGTTTATTTATAAATTTTAATAGGTGTGGACACATTCCATTTATAATGGCCAAAAAGTGACTCAGCCTTTGGGACAGAGAAAGCTTTAGGTGGAGGGACTGTTTTTGCAGCGCCTTTAGCAGTAGCATCAAAGAAGAAATGTATGCATGGAAATTGTCATCAGCTATGGTTGGCTCACAGGCTCACATTAATAAACATGCTTTTCTTTTTTCACCATTAACAGTTTTTTCTTCTATCCATTTAATTGCTACCTAGGGCTTAAATGGAAGCTTAAGTAGCTATTGTAAATGATTTGTAAACATGTTTTTCTGTAGGTTTGTTGAATAAGAAGTAAAATATGTGCAATATTACGTAGCAATTGAGAAGCCCTTATTTGGATAGTTATAAATTACATATAATTAGAAATGATGTCTAAAGAATTTTGATTAAACGTAGCTGTGTTCTCTTGTAGACTCTCTTATCTTTCTTGCTGCCTGGTCATACTAGACTGAGAAACCAGATAACAGAAGTCTTGGATCTGGATCTGATAAAGCAGGAAGCAGAGAATGGGGCGCTAGACATTTCCAAGCTGGCAGAATTCATTATTGGCATGATGGGGACACTGTGTGCACCTGCTCGAGATGAGGAAGTTAAGAAACTAAAGGACATTAAGGAAATAGTGCCCCTTTTCAGGTATGGAAATATGTTAATCATACTCCGTGCAACTACAATTCAGAGGCATTTTCTTTTTTTTCTTTTCTTTTTTTTTTGAGACAGAGTCTCACTCTGTTGCAAAGGCTGGAGTGCAATGGCGTGATCTTGGTTCACTGCAACCTCCACCTCCTGGATTCAAGCAATTGTCGTGCCTCAGCCTCCTGAGTAGCTGGGATTATAGGCACGCACCACCGTGCCCAGCTAATTTTTGTATTTTTAGTAAAGATGGTGTTTCACTACGTTGGCCAGGCTGGTCTCGAACTCCTGACCTCACGTGATTGGCTGCCTTGGCCTCCCAAAGTGCTGGGATTACAGGCGTGAGCCACTGTGCCCAGACCAGAACTATTTTCAATTTAAACTTCCTGAAGTCTTGGTACTCATGGATTTAAAAAAAAAAAAAAAATTTGTAAAATGCAGAAAAGTAAAAAGAAGACATTTACTCATAATTTTACCTCTCAGAGGCATAATCACTCTTATCATTTTGATACATAGATATATTTTTTATACATTAATTTCCTTCAACATTTTCTTTTGAAAAATTCCAAACCTACAGAAAAGTTACAAAAACAGTACAATCAACACTCACAAGCCCTTCATGTGGATCCATCAGTTTTTATCATGTTGTCACATTTGCTATGCTGCCCAGGCTGGTCTGGAACTCCTGGGCTCAAGCAGTCCTCCCGCCTTGGCCTCCCAAAGTGTTGGGATTACAGGTGTGAGCCACGCGTCTGGTCCTCTTTTCCTTTAATGCTATGTTTACTTTACAAATGCTTGCTTCTAAATCCTTTTTTCTTTCAGAGAAATTTTTTCTGTGTTGGACCTAATGAAAGTGGACATGGCCAACTTTGCTATCAGTAGCATCAGGCCTCATCTCATGCAGCAGTCAGTTGAATACGAAAGGAAGAAGTTTCAAGAGATTTTGGAGAGGCAACCAAGTATGTTGAATATTTTGTGGTACTTTTTTTGTTGTCTGTGGTTTTTCATTTTAGCTGCCATAGCTTGTTGCATAATATTATTTTCAGAACAAAACTAAAATTTAGTAGGAGAATAGTCTAATTTGAAGAAGGAAAAGCACAAAATGTTGGGACTACATCTAGAGTTGTTAAGCATTGAAAAGAAAACTTAATTCACAAGCAAAAGGAATGTGAGTAGGCTATGAGAATAGAAATTAAAAACAATGAATTCCTAAATTATAAATGGTTTTTTGATGAAAACACCAGTTTGAAGTAAAATACATTCTTGGTCTTGATTTTTGAAAACATGACAGACATCCTGTGAATGTTAATTCACTTTTCTTCTCCCTGTGTGGCACAGCAGGAAATTTAACTTTGCTTTTGTTCTGGATGCATAAATCTTCTTGTTTCATACCCAGGAAGAGTCTCATTTTTATGAACCTCTCCGATGACTGCAGAAAACAGACGACTCTCAGAATCTAAAACTACGTTGTATTTCTAGGGTGCTTTTTATGGTCTCTGCATTGCTAACTGACATTCTGGGTAAATTTCAGTCTTCAGATTCAATGTATGATGAATTCCATTTGGCCTCTAACTTTGCTGACGAGGAGATGAAAACAGCAGTCTCTGGGTTGGTTGGGTTGCCTGACCAGATTAGTTAAGTGAATGCCCCATGCAGTTGATTCATCCAGCCCCAGGCAGAGGAGTCTGAGGTAGTGCTGGGGCCGGGGCAGGTTGAGAAAGGACAGGGTAGAGGTAGAAGTAGAAGAAGTTTGGTAATGTTTACTAAGTGCCAGGCTTGTGCCAAGGGCTGGATGTACATGATCATATGTAATCCTCACACAGTAAGCTGATGAGCCAGGCACCTTTTTTTTAATCCCATTTTACAGATGTTGGAAACAGGTTTTGGGAGATTTTTGACCAGAATGGATTGACCACAAGCTCACACTCTCACCAGTGTTGTGAGAGTACTGGGAAGAGTTTTTTCTTGTTGTTGTTGTTGTTTTCTTTGAGATAGAGTCTCCTCACTCTGTCACCCAGGCTGGAGTGCAGTGGCACGATCTCTGCTCACTGCAACCTCCGCTAGGCAGAGTTTTGTAGCCTGAAGAGCCGTAATATTAAGGCCTGGACCTGGAAGCTGGGGCATAGTGGAGGACTCACTGGTAGGGTGGAAGCAGCTACAGTGCCTGCATCTAGCACTTAACTCACAACATGAAAGCCTGGGTTTCCCAAAGCTGGGGGGTTACGGAGAATATTATCAGCAGAAGAGAGGGTGAAGCCAGATGGCCCAGGAGTCATGACCGAGAGCTCAGGGTAAACTGGAGCTGCATCCCCCTGCCCCAGTGAAGAGCAAACCACAGCTGTGACCTTGGCCGCCCACTTGGTTTTAAGGAAGCAGGAAGCCTCCACTAACAGAGCTGCAACACCTGCTGGGACCTGACAGGTGCAGTTTTTATCAGATGATGTGTGAGATCCTCCAGCTCTCTCTCTGTATCCCTCAGAGTGCCCCCTGCATTACCAAGCTTAGAAAAGCAGGGGTGCAGGAGGGCTGCTGAAAGCCAGATGGGGCTTCCCTGACAGAGTTCACTTTCCCCCAGGTTGAAAGGAAGCCAGATTGATACAAGGTTAAGATCTAAACAAGGAAAAGCCTCATCATCAGTGTAGAGGATACTTTACACAGGGAAACTCTAGCTGGTGTCTCATCCTATCTGTCTCTAGAGCTGGAGTTGCCAGGGCTTTGGGGTCCATCTCATGCAGTGGTCAGGATGGGAGAGAAGGGAAGGAAGGTTTGTTAAATACCAGGTGGGTGGCAAGGCCTGGCTAGGTGTCATGTATTTGTTACTATTATTATTATTATTTTAGACAGGGTCTAGCTCTGTCCCCCAGGCTGGAGTACAGTGGTGTGATCACCACTCACTGCAACTTTAACCTCCAGGACTCAAGTGATTCTCCTGCCTCAGCCTCCCAGCTAGCTGGGGCTACAGGCATGTGCCACCATGCCCAGCTAATTTTTGTATCTTTTGTAGAGACAGAGCCTTGCCACATTGCCCAGGCTGGTCTCGAACTCCTGGGCTCAAGCAGTCTTCCCACCTCAGCCTCCCAAAGTGCTGGGATTACAGGCATGAGCCACCATGCCTGGCTTATTCATTATCTTGTTTAATCCTCACAACAGCCTGTGAGGTGGGTGTTGTAAATTTGCCTATATCAGGCATCTGAAACTCAGACACATTATGACTTGCCTGAGATCCCTCAGTTAGTCATTGGCACTACTATGATTTGATCCAAGTTTTATTTGATTCCAAAGTTCATACTTTATACTTTATCACTCCACCAGGACATCGATTGTCCCTTAAGTAATTCCGAGAAGCATCCCTTCTTGGTGTCAAGGTAATGTGTGCAGCTTTGTTTTTCACAGATTCCCTGGACTTTGTCACCCAGTGGCTGGAAGAAGCCTCAGAGGACCTTATGACTCAGAAGTATAAACACGCCCTGCCAGTGGGGGGAATGGCTGCTGGCTCTGGGGACATGCCCAGGCTGAGCCCTGTTGCTGTCCAGAATTACGCTTACCTGAAGCTTCTGAAGTGGGACCACCTCCAGAGGCCGTTCCCCGAAGTAGGTCTCCTGAGCCATCTCACTACTCATATTTGTTTTTGTGCTGCTGAACTTTTTAAAAAGAATAGCTTTGGCCAGGCACGGTGGCTCACTCCTGTAATCCCAGCACTTTGGGAGGCAGAGGCAGGCAGATTGCTTGAGGTCAGGAGTTCAAGACTTGCCTGGGCAACATGGCAAAACACCCTCTGTACTAAAAATACAAAAAATTAGCTGGGCGTGGTAGCAGGGGCCTGTAGCCCCAGCTACTTGGGAGGCTGAGGCAGAGAATTGCTTGAACCTGGGAGGCGGAGCTTGCAGTGAGCCAAGATTGCACCACTGCACTCCAGCCTGGGCGACAGAGCGAGACTCTGTCTCAAAAAATAAAAATAAATAAGTAAATAAATAAAATAAAAAATAAAAAGAATAGCTTTATTCTGATATAATTCATGTACCAGAAGATTCTCCCTTTTAAAGTGTACAACTCAGTGTTTTCTAGTATAGTCACAGAGTTACGCATCCATTGCCACTGTTTAATTGAGAACATTTTCATCACCTCCAATAGAAACGCTGCATCCATCAGCGGTCACTGCCCTCCCCCCCTCCCTCCAACGCCTGAAGCCACAGATCTGCTTTCTGTCTCTATGGATTTGCCTATCCTGGACATTTTATTTAAATGAAATCATACACTACCAGCCTTTTGTGCCTGGCTTCTTTCACCAATGTTTTTTCACGTTGTAGCACATATAGCAGTAGTTTAGTCCTCTTTTCCACTGTGTTTTTTTTGTTGTTGTGGTAAAATACACATAACATAAAATTTACCATTTTAACCATTTCTAGTTGTCCAGTTCAGTGGCATTAAGTGCATCCACATTGTTGTGCAACCATTGCCACCAGCCACCTCCAAAACATTTTCATTTTTCCTTCTGTGAAACTGTCTTCCCACCAAACACACCAAACAGTAATTCCCATTGCCCCCGCCCTCTGGCCCCTGGCAGCCACCATTCTACTTTGAGTCTCTGTGAATTGGACTAATCCGGGTACTTAATATGAGTGGAATTATACAATCTTTGTCCTTTTGGGTCTGGCTTATTTTACTTAGCATAATGTCTTCAAGGTTCATTTATGTTGTAGTATGTGTCAGTGTTCCCTTTCTGGGTTTTTTAAAATTTTTTTAAATTTTAGAGACAGGGTCTCATTGAATTGCTCAGGCTAGGTGGTACGACAGCTCACTGTAACTTTGAACTTCAGGGCCCAAGTGATCCTCCTGCCTCAGCCTCCTGGGTAGCTAGGACTACAAGAGTGTACCACCACCCCCAGCTAATTTTTAAGTGTGTTTTTTGTGGAGACAGGGGTCTCGCTATGTTACTCAGGCTGATCTTAAACTCCTGGCCTCAAGTGGTCCTCCCTCCTTGGCCTCCCAGTGTTGGGATTACAGGCATGAGCTACCATGCCCAGCCCTCCTTTCTTTTTTAGGCTGAATAATATATTTTACTGTATGGATGTACCACATTTTGTTTATTCATTCATCAGTTGACAAACATTTGGGTTGTTATTATAAATTATGCTTCTGTGAATATTCCAGTACAAGTTTTTGCATGGACATATGTTTTTACCTCTCTTGGTTACGTACCTAGGATTAGAATTGCTGGGTTACATGGTGACTCTTAAGTTTAACATTTTGAGGAACTGCCAAACTGATTTCCAAAGCAGCTGCATCATTTTACCATCCCACCAGCAATGTATGAGGCTCCAGTCTGTGCTGCTGAATTTTTCTCCTGTTTTTACTCATCTTGATGGAAACCACAACAGAGGTGTGGTTGTTCACAGCTTTATCTAAAGAAACTTCTTCCCCTTCCATGCTGAACAATATTTTTTTCTTTTTATGTTTTTCACAATACATACTTCTAACTGCAAGACCTCTTTAAGAAGATGACTAAGAAGGGATTCCCCCAGTGTTTCTCTAAATAGCTGTTTTGTTATGTAGACTCCCCCTCTCTTTTTGGGGGGTACGTGAGCTTCTTATCACTAGCCTCAGATCCAGATACTTCTCTAAATATCTTTCTTATAAGTTCCTTATTTTTCCTTTCAAGAAGTTGTGAGCTTAAGGTTTCACCTCTTGCCTCTGAGTTCCCCGTTTTGTGCTGGAGGAAGCTCTAAAGAGAATGTCAAATTGGAGATGGGAAAATGTTCCCTTTGAACTGTGGCATGTTCTCTTCTGGAGGGAAGTTCTCAGCCTGACATGTCTATTTAAAAATAGCTGTGGGAGACCATCCAATACCTCCCTTTTCCCCACCGCTGATCATCTTCCCCAGGCCTTAGATACCCCTGCTTCTTCATCCCATAAATATCCCTAAGCCCTCTCTATGGAGAGGGGGATGTGAGACCTGTTCTCCAGCCTCCTCACTTGGCAGTCTTATGAATAAACCCTCTCGTAAAAAAAATAAATAGAAAAGAAAAGAAAAGAAACGCTGTGGGGAAGATGGTGATGGTCCCTGGGGACAGCTGTCTACTCCAGGAATTGATCCTTGGCAATCTGCATCCTAAACTCACGTCCTGCTGTTGGGAAGCCACAAAGCCATGTGAAGTCAGAAAACAGGCCGACGATGAGTCCTTGGGATTGTATTTGTATCAGCAGAGGATTCTCAATCCTCAGGGTTTTTACTTCTTGGCTGTGACCCACATTGTTCATGTCTTGACTTGGCAAATCTCAGTTTCTGACAGCAAGAAAGGTCCTTAGAGTCCATTCGATGAGCCTGTAAACTCTCAGATCAGATTCCCATCTGTGCAGCCTTTCCCTTCTCCTTCCCTCAGCCACACGGGTGGGGGCGCTGGCATGGTAGGACCCAGGACTGTCTTTAACATGGGGGAGGCAGTCATGGGAATGTGCTTGCTTTCCGGGAGGCTTTAGATTGTTCTCTGTCACTTCTACTCTCTGTGCTTCCTGTTTCTTTCTCTTCCTCTTTATTTACTCGCCAGTTCTTACAAGCTTCCTTTGTGCTGGGTGCTGAGCGGATACCAAGATGAATAAGTGTAGGCTCTGCCTGCAAGGCAGTCCTCCCTTCCATTGCTCTGGGATTTTTGTTGTTGTTGTTTTAAGATGGAGTCTCACTATGTTGTCCAAGCTGCAGTGTAGTGGCTATTCACAGGCATAATCGTAGTGCACTGCAGCCTCGAAATTCCGGCCTCAGTGATCTTCCTGCCTGAGCCTCCCAGTAGCTGGGACTGCAGGCACCCACCATCGCACCTGGCCTTCCATTGCTCTGTACAGGGTGACTGGCTGTCCTAGTTTGCTAGGGACTGAGTGAGGGTTCACAGGACTTGGGAATTTCCATTTGAAAACTGGGACAGTCCCAGACAAACTGGGAGGAGTTGGTGACCCTAGGTCTGTGCCTCATTATACTTTTCTTCCTAACAATAAGTATAACTTTTATTTATCGAGTGCTGGCTCTGCCAGCCACTTTATATGTAGCATCTTTCTTCAGCTTTAAAACAGCCCTGTGATGTGGGAGTCCCCATTCTGCAGAGGCCCGACAAAGTTGGGGATGCATGCATGAGGTCATGCTATTTTTTTTTTTGAGAAGGAGTTTCACTCTTGTTGCCCAGGCTGAAGTACCAAGGTGCAATCTCAGCTCACTGCAACCTCTGCTTCCTGGGTTCAAGAGATTCTCCTGCCTCATCCTCCCGAGTAGCTGGTATTATAGGCATGCACCACCACACCCGGCTAGTTTTGTATTTTTAGTAGAGATGGGGTTTTACCATGTTGGTCAGGCTGGTCTTGAACTCCTGACCTCAGGTGATCTGCCCACCTCGGCCTCCCAAAGCGCTGGGATTACAGGCGTGAGCCACCGCGGCCAGCCGGGGAGGTCATGGTATTAAGCACGGAGCCTGGCTTTACACCCAGGCCTGTCTGTGTTCTTAGTGAGGGCGCTATACTGCATCCTTGCTCAGGAGGAACGGCTCTGAGATAGAGGGGTTATTTCACACCAGACTCCCTCAAAGCTCTGACACACTAGCGCAAACCCTGAGGGAAGCTGCAGAGGCAGGTGTGGGGGCTGTGGCGCTCCCGCCCTCTGCTGGCCAACCTGGACCTGCAGCTCAGCGATGGCCTCTTCTATTCATTACAGACAGTTTTAATGGACCAGTCTCGCTTCCACGAGCTCCAGTTGCAGCTGGAACAACTGACCATCCTGGGGGCTGTGTTGCTGGTCACCTTCAGCATGGCAGCGCCAGGAATTTCCAGCCAGGCCGACTTTGCTGAGAAACTCAAGATGATTGTGAAGATTTTGCTAACAGATATGCACCTGCCGTAAGTGGAACTTTGATGCGTGGATGGGACGCAGTGGATGTCAGAGAGCCGACTGGAGTCTCCCAGAGGGGTCTCCCACTGTAAGGCAGAGCCCAGGGCCACTCTCTAGGAACTGAGAAGAAACCTTGCTGTCTCAGTTGGTTCACTTGGCGAAGACCCCAGCAGAGTTTATTTAGGGTCATAGGGTCAAAGTTAGAATCTGCTGCAGGGTTAGCAGAGCTCTAGGATAGTGGCTTCAAAATGTGTGTGACTAGCCGAGTAGCCTGTCGGGCCTTAGAGGCCACACCAAGGAGTTGGGTTATTGTCCTAAGAGCAGTAGGGAGCCATTGAAGGATTTGAAGCAAGAGGGGGAACGTAATTAGATTTATGCCCTTAAGTTTAAATTTTGGCATGGGGCACATAGTAGATGTGAGGGAGCATTTAGGAGGCGAGAGAAGAAGTGGCTCGGGCTGGGGGGTAAGCCATGAGCAGGGTGGGGAGCGCTGGTACCAATGGTTGCTTGCCTTGAGGAATTGGAGATCCCGGGCTTAGAGGTCCCGCGGCCCTCCATTCCCTGTTAGCATGCTCCTCCCGGGGCCTGGCTCGGTGTTGAGTGCCATCAACTCATTTGTTCTCCCTACGCAGGGAGCAGGATGCTGTCTGACCCCTTCCTTCTTTAATGGGGTTGTCTTTGTCTCCTGACCTCCAAGGTTCTTGTGTTTGTTTGTTGAGTGCTTTATTCCTCTCCCAAAGCCATTCAAATGTATTAAACTCTTACTGGAGCTTATGAAGAAACTGGAACCCAGAGACATTAATTGGGACAAAAATGTTTGTGACTAGGACCTGCAGTAAGAAATTCATTTTCCATTGTGACCTAGTACACACTTAACACACGTGTAACAGAAACGAAAACTTCTCAAACTGGAACTGACCCTAACTGTGTTTAATGCAGCCTGATTGTTTCTACTCTATTCTTATTCCATTAAAAAAAAAAATTGGTTGCTACCCACTGAATTGCTTTCATAACCGACTAACAGTGAAAAGCAGAGCCCTAGAGGAAGGTCATGAGAGAAACCAGCTATATTCCTGCAGAGCTGCATGTATGTGGTTGAAGTGTTCTGCCCTTGCTTGTTCCCTGTAGGCGTTCTGTGCTCAGTGTAATGCATCATTTTCTTACCCAGCACGAGTCCGCATCTGCACGCGTGCAGGCTTCAGTGACCGCTCCTACCATGGAGTCATGTTGGGTGACTTCTATGGTTTCCAGCCTATAGAATATCTTTGAGTGGTTCTAAGTAAATGCTCTATCTAACAAGGTCCAATTCAGAGACTTCTTCAAGGGAAGTACCCCCTAAACATTCTCATCCTTACAAAATGGAGGAATTTTACTGCTGAATTTTCACAAAGCATGGCTGTGTTCAGTGCAGTGTGGGGCGTGTCCGTAAGTTGTGACTAGGGCCTCAACAGTTTTGACAGTCAAACTAGTTTGCTGAGAGGCCAGGAAACTTGTTTGCTCAGCTGAGGGCCTAGCCTGAGGCCTTTGCACAGGTACAGCTCTGGGCTGTCACCTAGGTCCCCTGCCTGGAGAACTACTCTGTCAAAGCTCCCGCTGAGGGTGGGATCCAGGTCAGTGCTTTCTTGGGAGCCCAGCCTTGCACTCCCATATCCTCCCTGGTCCTCCAGGGGTGGGCACAGAGCTGGTGCCAATGGTGAGTGCCAGGGCTTGCTCCCATGCCCCCCAGTAATTCTACATACAAAGGATCTAGACCCACAACAGAGGCAGTTACCTTCTCACAGCATGCCTGCCAGCATGGGGGCTCCCCACAGGCACCCTGGGAGAGCCTGGGGGACCCAGGGTATCCAGGTACTCTTTTTTTTTAACTTTAGGATTTCACTTTTCGTTATTCTTTTATTTTTTAAAAATTTTTTAATTTTTATATATTTTTTTATTTTTTTGTGATGGAGTTTCACTCTTGTTGCCCAGGCTGGAGTGCAATGACGTGATCTCGGCGTCCACTTCCTGGATTCAAGTGATTCTCCTACCACAGTCTCCTGAGTAGCTGGGATTACAGGCACCTATCACCATGCCCAGCTAATCTTTTTGTATTTTTAGTAGAGATGGGGTTTCACCATGTTGGCCAGGCTGGTCTTGAACTCCTGACCTAGAACTCCTGATCCATCTGCCTTGGCCTCCCAAAGTTCTGGGATTATAGGCGTGAGCCACTGAGCCCGGCCTCTTTATTCTTTTAAAATTAGTTAATACATGTGTATGTTTCAAAAATCAAAAGGTACAAAAGGGCATCCAATGAAGAGTTTCTCTCTCCCTCTTGTCCCACAGCTACCAAATGCCTGCTTTCTTGTGTATTCCTCCAGAGGTATATCAAGATATTCTGAGGTCATTCCAGGCTGATTTTATCACACAGAGGCTAGCAGGAAGTTGTGCTTTGGGTCGTTGGTCCTGGTATACTCTGAGCCCCTGCCCTTCCCACTGTCCTTTCTAGCAGAGGGAGAGAAAGAAAGTCCCCCTGGTCAGGTATGCACAGCCTGAGAGGTAAGGTGGCAGGGAAAAGAGTCTCAAATTGTCCCTTGAACACACAAATCCAGTTATTGGTGCCGTCATTCTCACCCGGGTGTGGGCGGTTGGAGCTGGTTAGAGGTGTATTTTACTTATAGGCCCTTTCTCCCCTCCTCTGCCCCAGCTCCTTCCATCTGAAGGACGTCCTCACTACCATCGGGGAGAAGGTGTGCCTGGAGGTGAGCAGCTGCCTCTCCCTGTGTGGGTCCTCTCCCTTCACCACGGACAAGGAGACCGTGCTCAAGGGCCAGATCCAGGCCGTGGCCAGTCCCGATGACCCCATTCGCAGGATCATGGGTACGTTTGGGGAAGGCAGGCAGCAGGGATGTGCCCTCTGAGGGGCTGGAGCACGAGTCCATCTGAAGAAACCTGAGGGCTCAGCTGGAGTTAAGGTGCTGATGGGTGAGGAGATGGTGTAATGAAGCACCACAGAGAGACCAGGGCCACCCAACAGATGGGCACAGGACCAGGCAGCCATCATTGTTCTAAGGGCTGCAACCTTGGAATCACTCTCCTGGGTTCACAAGCAGTGTCCCAGGGCAGCTTGGGCGTGTAACTTGACACTCGAGTTTCCTCATCTCTAAAGCAGGAATAAGGGCAGCAACCTTACAAGGTCGCTGCAGGAACTCCCTGGGATGAGAAGGTGAAGCGCTTTCCGTAGTGCCTGGCAGCACATAGTAAGTGCTCAGTAAATAGGAGCTGTTACGAAAAGAGCTGAATAGTAAAATGAAGATGTTATTTAAAAATACTATTAAAATATTATTAAATATTAGTATGTAATACTATTAACATATCAAATATAATAACTTAAAATGGTAATATTAAGATATTGCTATTTAAAATTTATAATAAACTTGAAGTATTAAAATATTTTAATGCATATTCTATAAAATATTTAAAATATTCTATAATATTAGCTATTAGTTATCACAGCAATGGCTTTATGAAAAATTCTGTTAATTAGCTCGACTTAATCATTTTGTAGTATATACATACATTTAAAACATCATGCTGTATGCTGTGAATACATAGTTTTGTTTGTTTGTTTTTGAGACAGGGTCTCACTCTGTCTTCCAGACTGGAGTGCAGTGATGCGATCTCGGCTCACTGCACTCCACCTCTGTGCTCCACCTCCCAGGCTCAAGCAGTCCTCCCACTTCAGACTCCCAAGTAGCTGGGACTACAGGCATGCACCACCACACCCAGCTAATTTTTTGTATATCTTCTAAAGATGGGGTTTTGCCTTGTTGGCCAGGCTGGTCTCAAATTCCTGGACTCAAGTGATCCGCCTGCCTCAGCCTCCCAAAGTGCTGGGGTTAACAGGCACGAACCACTGCATCCAGCCAAGATTTATACTCACAACCTTCATAGGGAGGCAGGAAAGTGCCTGTAAGTAGACCTGTGGCCAGCAAGTTGCTACTCATCCTGCTGCCTGGGTTGTTTTGTAATAGCCAGTTACCGACAGATTGAAAACCAGCCCTTAAGGGGAGGATCACTTAAAACCAGGAGTTCGAGACTATCTGGGCAGCATAGTGAGACCCCATCTCTACAAAAAATTAAAAAAAAAAAATTAGCCAGGTTAGTGACATGCATCTGTAGTCCTTGCTACTCGGGAGGCTGAGGCAGGAGGATCACTTGAGCCCAGGAGTTTGAGGCTGCAGTGAGCTACAATTTCACCACTGCACTCCAGCCTGGGTGACAGAGCAAGACCCTGTTTCTAAAAGAAAGAAAGAAAGAAAAGAAAAACCAGTCTTTGGGTAGGAACAATACAAAGATTTCTACTTCAGTGAGGCTGCCAGCCCTGGGAACCTTAGAGAACCAAACTAACTTAAGAATAAGGGTGCTGAGCACAGTGGCTCATGCCTATAATCCCAACATTTTGGGAGGCCGAGCCGGGCAGTTCACCTGAGATTGGAAGTTCGAGACCAGGCTGACCAACATGTAGAAACTCCGCCTTTACTAAAAATGCGAAATTAGCCAGGCATGGTGGTGCATGCCTGTGATGCTAGCTACTTGAGAGGCTGAGGCAGGATAATCGCTTGAACCTGAAAGGTGGAGATTGTGGTGAGCCGAGATTGTGCCATTGCACTCCAGCCTGGGCAATAAGAGCTAAAGTCTGTCTCAAAAAAAAAAAAAAAAAAAAGAATAAGGGTGATAGGGCCAGGTGTGATGACTCATGCCTGTAATCCCAGCATTTGGGAGGCCAAGGTGGGCAGATTACCTGAGGTCAGGAGTTTGAGACCAGCCTGGCCAACATGGTGAAACCCCGTCTCTACAAAAAATACAAAAATTTCCTGGGCATGGTGGCGTGTGCCTGTAATCCCAGGTACTCGGAAGGCTGAGGCAGGAGAGTCACTTGAACCCAGGAGGCGGGGGTTGCAGTGAGCCGAGATCGCGCCACTGCACTCCAGCCTGGGAGACGAGGGAAACTCCATCTCAAAAAAGAAAAAAAAAAGAAGAAGGGTGATAGGGCTGGGTGCAGTGGCTCACTCCTGTAGTTCCAGCACTTTGGGAGGCGGGGGCAGACGGATCACTTGAGGTCAGGAATTCAAGACCAGCCCGGGCAACATGGTGAAACCCCGCCTCTACTAATAATACAAAAATTAGCTGGGCATGGTGGCATGCGCCTGTAATCCCAGCTACTCGGGAGGCAGAGTGGGGAGAATCGCTTGAACTCGGGAGGCGGAGGTGTAGTGAGCTGAGATTGTGCCACTGCACTGCAGCCTGGGCGACAGAGTGAAACTGTGTCTCGAGAAAAAAAAAGAGTAAGGGTGTTAGGCCCTGTCCTGTCAGCAGTTTCTGTCTGTGTTGTGAGGCTCAGGAGGGTATAAGTTATTTGCACCTGAGAGGATTCCCCAGGCAGGAGGCAAGGCATGTAGTTTGAAAAAGTCTATTCCATATAAATGTCTCTGTTGTTTTTGTGATAAAATCTGCAAGAAGTGTGGCTTGATCAAATCTTTTTTCATGAGGATACACAAGAGTACAAAAGCATTGTGAAGGGGAATGGACTAGAAAAGCATCAACCTAAATTATTCCTCCAAGTAGGACAAGTTTACAAATGCCCATGACTTCCATGCAGGCATCAGAGAAGGAAGCACGAGCTGCTTTCATGGAGGCTTAGTAGGAAAAAAGTCTTTTTTGAACCTGTAATTCCTGCTTTAATCTTCCACCTTTTTATGTGATCGTCAGCGATGGCTAACAATGGTCTCAGGATGTGTTGCTCCTCGGAGAGCAGAGCATGTCTCCAGTCTTCCTTTACTCACTCATGCATTCATTCATTTTTTTTGTTTTGTTTTGTTTGGGGACAGAGTCTGGCTCTGTCGCCCAGGCTGGAGTGCAATGGCATGATCTCAGCTCACTGTAACCTCCACCTCCTGGGTTCAAGTGATTCTTGTGCCTCAGGCTCCCGAGTAGCTGGGACAACAGGTGTGCGCCACCACACCTGGCTACTTTTTATATTTTTAGTAGAGACGGGGCTTCACCACAATGGCCAGGCTGGTCGAACTCTTGACCTCAGGTGACCCGCCCACCTTAGCCTCCCAAAGTGCTGGGATTACAGGCGTGAGCCACCGCGCCTGGCCACTCATGCATTCATTCTTGCATTCCAAGTGTGTTTGAGCTTCTCCTGGGAGCTGGGTCTCATGCCAGTCACTGTGCTGAGTGCTGAGGAGACATGATGAACAAGATGAGCATGGCTCCTACCTTCATGAAACTAACCATCTAGAGGGGAGAGAAAACATTATAAATGGGATGAATATGCAGAAGTGCAAGGTGCTGTGGGTATCTGGTCTGGGAGTATTGATCGGGGACAACTTCCCCTAAGAGGTGATGGTTAAGCTAAGAACTGAAGCACAGTAAGGTTTGTAAGGTGAAGGACAAGAAACAACTGACCACTTTCTTTTTTGTCACAGAATCTCGAATCCTGACCTTCTTAGAAACCTACCTTGCCTCGGGTCATCAGAAGCCATTGCCCACAGTCCCTGGGGGACTCAGTCCAGTTCAGAGAGAGCTGGAGGAAGTTGCTATTAAATTTGCTCGCCTGGTCAACTATAACAAGATGGTCTTCTGTCCCTACTACGATGCAATCCTGAGTAAGATCCTCGTCCGATCCTAACGTGTATGCACCCTACAGCAGCAGTATTACTCACTAGCCACAGAATACCTGTTCTGTACTCTAATGTTGCATTGGAAAATGGCTATATAGTACATGTCTATTTAACAGCACCGATTCCAAAGGGAAGAATATTGTGTATCACTGTTGAAAAGACTTGTTGAGAAATCCACTGAATTCTATTTTGAGAGATTGTATTTATGAGTGCAAGTTTACAAATCAAAGAAGCATTTTGTTCTCGAGTTTTACAGGTAACACTCAGCTGTTGTCTCCACTCCTCCCCCATCATGTCCTTCCAAGGAGGCTGGGACCTCTCTCTTCTGCAATCTGGGTAGTTCTTTCAGATGCCTCATGCTGAGCTGACGGCCATCCAAGCGCAAAAGAGACCAAGCCATGGCCTCACCTCCTGCCCTCCCTCAGACAGCCTTGTCCCTCACCCCTCCCTTCTGGTATTTTTGTTAGAAGGGCTATATAACGTCTTATTGCCATTTTCTCCCCCTATTTATTGCTTCCTCCCTGCCTGGCCTAGCCAGGGCTCCCAAGCCCTTTTTTCTAGAGGAGAGTTATTTGTCTCTCTCTCTTTTTTTTTTTACTTTCTTTTTTGTATTTAAACATTCTTTTAACCTTCCCCCAAAGATACAGTTATTGGACTTTAAAAAGCTTGTTCTTTTATACAAAATTACTCCTGCATCTGGTTGAGAGCAGTTATGACTTATGAGATCTAGTGAAAGGAAAGTCTTTGACTTTCAAGCCTTGAAAGTCAAGGAGGAAATGTATTGAAAAATAGTTTACTGTAATGTGAACGAAGAGAAATGTCTGGAATTCTTACTGAAAAATTGACCCTGAGACAATACACAGATGTGATGATTGAATTAAATTCTGGAATTAGATTTAACTGTTTTCAGATAAAATAGCTTGAGTTCACGAATCTCCTAGATGAGGAAGTCATAGGAAATCCCTGGTGTTTGAGCATTATTTTTCAAGGAACTTCAGTGACCAGAATTCCTGACATGTCCTCTGAGCGTGAGTGATTTGGGTCTCATAGACGATCTGTTCTTTTTTTTTTTTTTTTTTTTTTTTTAAAGTGTACACATGTATGTCTGCATTTTAGACAGGGATGTTATATTAGAAGCAGAGCCATGAAGTTGGAATGACCAACTGCCACAACAGCAAGGGGTAAGACTATATTACTGTATGAGTAATGCAGTAATATCGGCACCTGAAGCCTTCTGTACAGGAAGCTAAGAGAAACTTACAAGTTAGCCGGGCGTGGTGGCTCACGCCTATAATCCCAGCACTTTGGGAGGCCGAGGCAGGCAGATCACCTGAGGTCAGGAGTTTGAGACCAGCCTGGGCAACATGGTGAAACCCCATCTCTACTAAAAATACAAAAATTAGCTGGGTGTGGTGGCACGCGCCTGTAATCCCAGCTACTTGGGAGGCTGAGGCAGGAGAATCGCTTGAACCCGGGAGGCAGAGGCTGCAGTGAGCTGAGATAGCACCACTACATTCCAGCCTGGGCAACAGAGTGAGACTCTGTCTCAAAAAAAGAAAAAAGAAAAGAAACTTGGAAGCCATTTCAGAAAGACTCCAGGAAGGCCAGCAGCCACTCCTGCACAACCAGGGGGAAGGGCTACATTTTACTGCAAGCAGCTGTTTTCTCTGATCCTTCTTTGTAAGGAAGTGCAGTGATTTTGTGTTTTGAAGGAAGACTTGAAGAAGCAGTTGGGTAGGTATTCCAATAGGACTGATGGGGAGGAAATCAGATACTCCATGAGAAGGATTTCAGACCTGGTAGAGTCAGAATACATTCTGCTTTCAGGATTTTTGAGATTGCTGATGGTCCCAGGGTTTATACAAGGACTTGGATCTGGCTATAGAAACTCAGGTAGAAATTACATGTATGCAGATCAGCACTGATGTTGGTTCTAATCTATAATGATGTGATAAATTAAAAAAACAAAACAAAAAACAGGGCTGGGCATGGTGGCTTACACTATAATCCCAGTACTTTGGAATGCCAAGGCAGGAGCATCATCTGAACCCAGGATTTCAAGTCCAGCCTAGGCAACATAGTGAGATCATGTCTCTACAAAAAATACAAAAAAAATTAGCCTGTTGTGGTGGCACACAGTTGTACTCCCAGCTACAAGCTGAGGCTGAGGCAAAAGGATCACTTGTGCCCAGGAGTTTGAGGCTGCAGTGAACTATGATCATGCCACTGTACTCCAGCCTGGGTGACAGAGCCAGACCCTGTCTCTCCTTAACAAAAAAAAGTAGAGCCAGATGTATCTTTTTGGGTCCCAGGCAGGAGACTGGAGAATCTGGGTCACTGTAATCTGGCAGACTGGCTGCATTTTGTGAGGGTACTTTTATTCATATTTATTTATTTTTGTTTGTTTGAATGCATTATTATTTTTTTAATAGAAACCACATCACTTCATTTGTTACAGCGAATAATTCAAGAGGGTCCCAGAAAGCTTTTTCATCCACAGAATTACAGAAAGGATAAGCACCCTCACCACCCAAGCCTTTGGTTCATTTTTTATTTTTTCAAGACGGAGTCTTGCTCTGTCACCCAGGCTGGAGTGTGGTGGCGCGATCTCAGCTTACTGCAACCTCCATCTCCCGGTTTCAAGCGATTCTCCTGCCTCAGCCTCCTGAATAGCTGGGATTACAGGCACGCGCCACCATGCCCGGCTAATTTTTGGATTCTTAGTAGAGACGGGGTTTCACCATGTTGGCCAGGCTGGTCTCGAACTCTTGACCTCGTGATCCATCCGCCTCGGGCCTCCCAGAGTGCTGTGATTACAGTCGTGAGCCACCACACCCGGCCTGTCTTTAAGTTTTATACTAGTTAGGAGGCTAGTCTATCAGAATGTCCCTAATTTAGCTGAGGAACCTAGACAAGTCTTCCTTGATTTCAGCTTCATCCCAAGGCCTCTGAATATTTTCTTTAAAAAGCTGCAGGCGAATGAGGTAAAATGGACAGAGACATGAGATAGAAATCAACAGAAGGGCAAAGAGTACGGCTCCCACAGCACTAATAGGCAGTAGGCCTTCCAAGACCGAAAAGGCAAAAAGCAGTGTGACCACCACATAGCCCTTGGGAGTCCGTGCCTTTAGTTTCTTCTGTAGCATGAGCCACAGGACAAAAATCTGGATGGCAAGTGTTCCCATGATGAAGACATGCAGGGACTGGGGAAGGTGGAAGCCAAGCATCCAGAAGCAAAGATGGCCATGTTCAAGGATAGTGTGCTGGATACAGTGGATACAAAGGCATCATTGGCACCATAGTTAAAAAAGATGAGGTGGCCTACCAGCATGAAGACTGACATGGCATAGATGGTGTCAGTGCTGACAGACTCTGTCAGGGTCTTAGCACTGGTGAAAAGCCATAAGTGAAAGTAATGAAGACTAGGGCACTCTTCAGGTCAGCCCACCGGGTCCACCCACTCTTCTGCCCTTCACCTCCATCAGTGAGATCAAACAAAACATACCCAATCAGTGAAGAAGCCAGGCCAGTCCCAAAAAGCCATTGGGGGGCCAGAAGACCCTCATCCATATACCACCAGATAACCAGAAAAACAAAAACACTGCACAGCTGCGGGATCACCACACTGGACTCAAATACCATAGCCCAATATTGGTATTTCCGAGCATGGATGTTTTTCCAGAGCTCTTCCAGGAACCGCCGGTCCACAAAGTTATCAGGAAAGGGCTGTTGCTCATACAAGACCCTCTGCCACTTTACCTCCTTGGTGTTTGTTACAGGTTGGGTACACATAATCCTTTCATTCAAACTCAGGCTAGTTTAATCATCCCTCTCACAGAGGTCCATGTGGTTCTTGTTGATGACATTTTGAAATGAGACCTCCCTGGAAATTCCATGCCTTGGTTGATATTCTGCTGACCTTTCCTTGTTTTCAAAGGCAGCAATCCAGGCCAGGCCTACAATAGATGAGTTTGTCTCTGAGGCAGGATATAATACAGCCAAGTTCCTGGGGATGCGTGACTGGGAGATGGCAGTTGCCTGCCTTTTTCCTTGTAAGGGTTTTTTTTTTTTTTGAGATGGAGTCTTGCTCTGTCGCCCAGGCTGGAGTGCAGTGGCGCGATCTCGGCTCACTGCAACCTCTGCCTCCCAGGTTCACGCCATTCTCCTGCCTCAGCCTCCCAAGTAGCTGGGACTACAGGCGCCTGCCACCATGCCTGGCTAATTTTTTTGTATTTTTAGTAGAGACGGGGTTTCACCGTGTTAGCCAGGATGGTCTCGATCTCCTGACCTCGTGATCCACCCGCCTTGGCCTCCCAAAGTGCTGGGATTGTAGGCGTGAGCCACTGCGCCCTGCCATGAGGGTACTTTTAAAGAAGATAACATCTTCCATGGTGTATTCAATGAGGTCGTGTCTGGAATTGTTCCCTTAAGGTGGAGGCTGCTCTGTGGCCACTGTGCCTGGCGGTTGTATGATCCTGGGTTCCTGGGCAGAGAAGCCTCAGCCTCAGAGTGTTTGGGGCCTTTTCCTGCCGCTCCAAGGCTGAAGGAGAGGAGCTTAACCCCAACTGCACAGCGCTGATCACCACTTCCTGCAGTCATTCTTCCTAAATCTCAAAAACTCTTCTTTTGTAAGAGTAGATTCTTGCAAGATATTTTTCCCCTCCTGAGTTCTTACATTGCCAGAGTTCCATTTGGACCGTTTGAAATCTTGATGCATGAATAACTGGCTTCACAGACTCTTGGCCGCCCACTACCTCGGTGTCCACTGGTGGAGTTCTGCAACTGGCAAAAGTCAAGAATGAAGGAAGCAAACTTCAGAACCACAATATTCATATTGAATCATTTTGTTGTTGCTCTATGAAGATAAGCTAATTTTCTTCCTGGAATCTCATAGGATTATTACTAAGGGCCAGGGAGATCCACTTCGTTCATTTAGTCACTCAGGAAGCATTGCTAAGCATCCCCCTGTACCTTCCCCTACAGCTCTCCTTCCAAAACGAAACATCCTTTGGAGTGTGTTGTCCTCCAGAATCGAATGGATTCTATATGCTGCATTCAGTAACAGGTTGTGGAGACAAGTGTCTTTTCCTGAAATTGCTAAGTGTATTTGGCAGTACTTTACTACTTGTGGATAGAACTGAGAGTGAGGTCAGTATCACCAAGCCTCTTGGATTTCTTCAGTAGTCTCATGGATAAGTGAATGTTTAAAGTAACTACTACTTTGTTGGCTCTTGGTTGGGTGGATGGATTCTCAGTCCTGGTGTTTTTAAAAATCTCATTCCAGCCGGGCGCGGTGGCTCACGCCTGTAATCCTAGCACTTTGGGAGGCTGAGGCGGGCAGATCACCTGAGGTCAGGAATTCGAAACCAGCCTTACCAACATGGCAAAACCCATCTCTATTAAAAATACAAAAATTAGCCGGGTGTGGTGGCACGTGCCTGTAATCCCAGCTACTCGGGAGGCTGAGGCAGGAGAATCACTTGAACCCTGGAGGTGGTGGTTGCAATGAGCCGAGATTGCGCCATTGCACTCTAGCCTGGGTGACAGAGCGAGACTCCGTCTCAAAAAAAAAAAAAATCGCATTCCGTCTAAAGCAAGCTACAAAATGTGATTATTTATGTCACGATATGACCCAGCCATAAATGTACTTCAGGTAAGAAGGACACTGACATGATATCTTACTGATCAAATGCAGTCAGTAGGTATATATGAACTTTTTTCTCTGTGAAGAAAAGCTATTAATAAGTTTGACTTAATAGGCCTATAGTATGCACATACTGGCCAAGATTCTAAATGGATTATTCAGCGGTTCTGTTTTTGTGGAGGTGCTTATTCTCATTTCTCCAAAGCCTTAAGATTCCTGGGAATAGAGGAAATGTTGCTGCCACCAGCTTTGCTGGTGAATTTCAAAGAGAATAGGTGTTTGCTGTTTGATTTCTAGTGACCTTTTGGCGAGCTCTGATTTATAGGTAGAACATTTGTGTTTCTTTTCATTTTGAGGCCAGGTGGTAGAGTGGAAAGACTGGGAGCTGTCAGGAAACCAAGGCTTGGATCTCCACTCTGTTATGTACCAGCTGGGGCAAATCAGGGCCCATTCCCAACTCCTTTAAAATGAAAGGACTAGACTTGGTCTTTAAGCTCCCTTCCGATTCTAACATTTGGTGGTAGCAGGATTGTGCACAAAGCTCCTAATTTAGAGAAAGATCTGGGTTTTAGTCTTTTCTCCTCTATCGCCGCCTTACCGGTTGTACAACATTGGACCAGCCATTCTCCCCAAGGCCTCGGCATTTTCATTGTTAAATGGGAACACTCCTAATTCACACTGTTGCTGTGAGGATTACATTTGGTAATGAATGATAGAATGCTTTGTACATGGAAAAGGACTATACCTTTCTTTTTTAACTACAAAGGCGAACATGTAACCCTCTACCTGTGGGCGCACATTTGCTGTGGTGTTACGTTCCACTGGTAGCGCCCAACCTCCCTTCATTCAAGCACATTTTACGGGCCTACAGGGAAGGTTTTCTTCCTGTCCTCTCCTAAGACTTGTTTATGTTCATCATCTCTTCTATACTAGAGCTGCAGTCTTACATTTGCTTACTTCCTGACATCCACCCCCACCCCAGTGATTTCTCCCCATCTCCACCTCTATATTATTTGAACTAAATGAATTCATGAATGAACAAATGAGTGGATGAATGAATGGTAATGGATAATGGGCTATGAAGTCATATTTAAAGGCACTATCTCATTTAAAAACAATCTAAATAAATAACTACAATGATATTTGCAAGTGTGTATTTATATTGGATTTTGCATTATATAATTATTTTAATGGAAAGCCTTTTTAGTCATAGTATTCAAAGCAACTTCAATGGGTGGGGAAGGGGATAATCTTTAAGCCCAGGTAAGCTCTGTTTATTAAACGATCAAGTGTTCACTGGTACTTTCAGAAATAGCCAGAGTTCTACAAAATATGTGTTAAAAGTCTAAACATATAATTCTACTTAAAACTGTCCCTCATGTGGGTTTCTGTCACACCTGACTTACATTTATTGCCTACCGAACTTAAGAACCAGAACTAAGCTATAGGCCTGGTTCGATGGAGTGTCACTTTTCTTGACTTAAAAGTAACCTTAAAACAAGAGGGGCTGGGCAAGGTGGCTCACGCCTGTAATCTCAGAACTTTGGGAGGCCGAGGCAGGCAGATCATTTGAGGCCAGGAACTCTAGACCGGCCTGGGCAACATGGCAAAACCTTGTCTCTACTAAAAGTACAAAAATTAGCCAGGCGTGGTGGCATAGGCCTGTGCTCCCATCTCAGCAGGCTGAAGTGGGAGGATTGCTCGAGCCCGGGAGGCAGAGGTTGCATTCAGCCAAGATCATGCCACTGCATTCCAGCCTGGGTGACAAAGTGAGACCCTATCTCAAGAAAATAAAAAATAAAAAAAAGAAGGGCTTCACATGGTGGCTAATCCCAGCAGTTTGGGAGGCTGACGTGGGAGGACTGCTTGAGCCCAGGAGGTCAAGACCAGGCTGGACAACACAGGTAGATCCTGTTTCTACATAAAATTTAAAAAATTAGCTGGGTATGGTGGATGGTGGTGCATGCCTGTGGTCCCAGCTACTTGGGAGGCTGAGGTGGGAGGATTATGCTGTGATCATGTCTCAAAACAAACAAAAAGACTTATGAAAATTTTTGTTTTCTTTTGTTTTGATTGTTTGTTTTTGAGATGGAGTCTCACTCTGTTGTCCAGGCTGGAGTGCAGTGGCACAATCTCAGCTCCCAAGCTCAAGCAATTCTCCTGCCTCAGCCTCCCCGAGTGGCTGGGATTACAGGTGTGCGCCACCATGCCCGGCTGATTTTTGTATTTTTAGTAGAGATAGGATTTCACCATGCTGCCCAGGCTGGTCTTGAACTCCTGACCTCAGGTGATTTGCTCGCCTTGGCCTCCCAAAGTGCTGGGATTATATATGTGAGCCACCGTGCCTGGCTGAAATTTTTATTAAGTAAAACGTAAGTTCACTTGCTCATTGCCACAGTCAAAGAACTACCATGTTAAAAAAAATAATAATAATAATTTATGACCATGATGACTATGGTTTAATAAAATTGAACTCAACATTTATTAACTATAGGCCAATACAGGGTTATAATATCAAATAAATTCATAATTATTGACCAGGGTCAATATACTAACAGAAATGATGTGTTTTTCCTTCTTTTTCTTTGGTACAGTTTGGTTGTTCAGAAAGTTTACTAGTAGTTTCTATTAACCTTTTACTGTACTAGATGTGGCCACATAGGTGCAACCTCTTGTTTGAAGTTTAGTGGTAAAGGCCAGAGTTTGACTAATTTTTGTTTAGGAAGGACATACATATAGTCCTTGAAACTTTTGTCTAGTTCTAGAATCTTGAGGAGATGCTGTCATTGCTTTTATAAACAGGAAAAAGATGGATATCTTTTGGCAATTTCTTTGGGTCCAGCAATACTGATATGAGTCCTTGGAATTGTAGGACTGATTATCCCATGAGTCTGCACATTAGATTTCCAAAGGTAAGTTCAGATGTCTAACATCATGCTGCTTGTTGAACTGTTTAACAAAAGGAATTATCAAATATCAGGCAGAATCACCTTAAAAACTAAAAATTCATACATATCTCTAGCAGTTAGAACATTCGAAAATGTTTTCTTCTAATGAGAATCCTTTTTATGCTCAAAGAGCTGATCATTTCTAGGAGAAAAAAATCCTATAAATAAATGCAATAGGAACAATTATAATATACATAGTAGCCTTAATAATAATTGATATGGTTTGAATCTGTGTCCCCACCAAATCTCATGTCAAATTGTAATCCCCAGTGTTGGAGGTAGGGCTTGGTGGGAGGTGTTGGTCCAGGGGGGTGAAGTTCCCATGAAAGGGTTAGCACCATCCTCTCGGTGCTGTTCTTGTGACAGTGAGTTCTCATGGAATCTGGTTGTTTAAAAGTGTGTGGCACCTCCCCCCTTTCTTCATCCTGCCCTGGCCGTGTAAAACGTCCCTCTTCCCCTTCACCTTCTGCCGTGATTATACATTTCCTGAAGCTTCTCCAGAAGCAAATGCCACTAATCTATCTATACAGCCTACGGAACCATGAGCCAGTTAAGCTTCTTTTCTTTAAAAATTACCCAGTCACAGGTATTTCTTTATAGCATTGTGGGAATGGACTAATAAAGTGATTAAAGACACTTTTCACCAAGTGTGTGTGTGCGTGTGTGCACGCACGCACGCGCACACACGCTAAAAAATGGTTTTTCACACATGTTCGCATGGCTTTGTTTTATTGTCTGTGGGAACACTTTGGCAGATCACTTACAGGTATTTGAAACTGTTTTGTCTTCTTTTTTTTTTTTTGAGACGGAGTTTCGCTCTTGATGCCCAGGCTGGAGTGCAATGGTGCGATCTCGGCTCACTGCAACATCTCCTTCCCAGGTTCAAGCAATTCTCCTGCCTCAGCCTCCCAAGTAGCTGGGATTGCAGGCATGTGCCACCATACCTGGCTAATTTTGTATTTTTAGTAGAGACAGGGTTTCACCATGTTGGTCAGGCTGGTCTTGAACTCCTGACCTCAGGTGATCCGCCTACCTTGGCCTCCCAAAGTGCTGTGATTATAGGCGTGCGCCACCTCGCCCGGCCTGTTTGTCTTCAAAACACTAACTGTGGAGTCCTAATTAGGGAAAGGGAGTCAGGCTGGTGGGAGCAGGGAAAAGCAGATAAATTATGAGTCTGCCTTTCTTCATGGTCCAGGACATGTAGCCGTACTGCACCCAACTTATCACCAGACACCTGCAAGTTAGCTCACTGCAACACTGGCATTCTCAGTAGTACATAAAACCCTCTTCAGCACATGGCACTATCTTATAAAATCCCCAGCAAGCCTTTGTCTCTTTGCAGACAAGCATCTTCTCTGCCTGTTCCAACCTTGCAGTGCATTTTCATACCTTCTCTAATCTACCTTTCTCTACCTACTATTGTCTTGGTAAATTCTTCTTACCCCCACACCACCAGCCCCAGATAGTCGCTGCTCACCCCCGATACTAACCACCAAAAATGGCACTTCAGGAACAAGTCTACACCTCTATATATTTTTTGAAGCAGGGTCTCACTCTTTCGCCCAGGCTGGAGTACAGTGGTGCAATCATGGCCCACTACAGCCTTGGCCTCCTGGGCTCAGGTGATCCTCCCACCACAGCCTGCAGAGTAGCTGGGACTACAGGCTTGTGCTACCATGCCCAGCTAACTTTTTTTTTTTTTTTTGGTATTTTTAGTAGAGATAGGGTTTCACTATGTTGGCCAGCTGGCCTCGAACTCCTGGCCTCAAGTAATCTTCAGCCTCCCAAAGGGCTGGAATTACAGGCAAGAGCCACCGCGCCCAGCCTACATCTCTGTATTTTAAAGTCTATGCCATATGGTATTACTTGTCTTTTTTTTGGAGAGCGTCTTGCTCTGTCACCCAGGCTGGAGTGCAGTGGCGCTACCTCGGCTCACTGAAACCTCTGCCTCACAGGTTCAAGCAATTCTTCTGCCTTCGCCTCCCAAGTAGCTGGGATTATAGGCTTGGGCTACCACGCCCAGCTAATTTTTTTGGTATTTTTAGTAGAGACGGGGTTTCACTTTGTTGGCCAGGCTGGTCTTGAACCCCTGGCCTCAAATAATCTGCCCGCCTCGGCCTTCCAAAGTGTTGGGATTTACAGGAGTGAGCCACCACACCTGGCCTACTTGTGTCTTAAGTTTTGATGGTAACTGATATTTTTAAAAAACTCACAACTTGAAAGTGATGCTTGAAAGGATAAGAAAGTCTGAATTAGAGGCAGCTGACTTTGTTTTGAGAGGCGATTTTTAGCTTTAATGGGAAAATACTGGAAACTAAACACACTTTTGACCAATTTATATAACCTTGCTACATATAAATTTATATGAGTAAATGATTCAGCATAACCTTTTTTTACAAGTAAGACTTTTATGGGACATTTGAAGCTGATTTTAAATGTCAGATTATTTAATCACATCTGAATTCAAATTCTAAACTAAATTGTTTCTAATATGTAAGATCATTTCTTTATAATCATAATACTTGTCCTCCCCTCCTTTTTGTTTCCCTCCTGCTTTTTAGTTTTTAACTAGTAATGAGAAGAGGAGGTAATGTTGTTACCAAAGAGCAAAGTCTAGTTCTTTGGACTTAATTTGCATGACAAGTTTTTGCTCACTGTAATTAGAATTTAGTTAAATAAATGTCATTTTCCTTAATGTTATCTATGTTTAGCTCATGGAAAAAAAAATGTTCTTGAGCACTGGGCCCCTGTGAAAATATACAAGTTGAGTATCCCTAATCTGAAAATCTGAAATCCAACATGTTCCAAAATCCAAAACCTTTTCGGTGCCAACATGATGCACAAAGAAAATGCTTAGTGGAGTTTTGTGGAATTTGTACTCTTGTATTAGGGATGGTGAACTGGTAAGTATGATGCAAATATTCTGAAATCTGAACAAATCCAAAATCCTGAACACTTCTGGTCCCAAGTATTTTAGATAAGAGATACTCTATGTGAGAACAAGACAGCAGGTGGTTAAAGGAATTTCCACACTTAGGTTGCTTTCAAGAGAGACAAAAGTATTAACAGGATCTTAATCTGCCTCAGATTTACTGGGGAGCAAATGCATTCATATTTGAGGATTTCTAAAATGTTTAATTTGCCTCTTAAAAATGTTTTTAGTTAGCACCAAAAAAGACAGACCAGGAAAGAGTATGTGATTAATACATTCAGTAAATACAAGATGACTTTTCCTTGTCCTGACATTTATTTTTAAATGGTATTGGATAAATAACATAAGTAGTTATTGTAAATAAAATCTGAAAGAAGCAGAGGAAGCATGATGTTTCTGAATCCTTTTATTTTTTAAAGGACTTTTAAAATTTGAAACTACAAAACGGATTTCATACATTCTGCCATAAATAAAAACAAACAATAAGGCAGGACTCTACATAAGCAAACCAAGAACAATTGTTTTCAGAAAATGTGATAAAATGCTTTACAATCATAAGCCATCCAGTTTTTAAAATAAAACTGTTGAAAAACTCACAAATCTTCAAGCGGCACATACAAGACACCCTTGAAGAGGGAACAAAATGTGGTTCTGCCACTTTGTACTGTTCTCACATTTTTGAAAACCTAATTTTGCTTAGAGCATAGGTCTGTTCCGTATTCTAAAATTCACACAGGTTGGTTTGTTTTTTCTCAAGAACCATGTGATAGAGGCACCAATGACAATACAACTTTGTTTCCAAGAACCTTGTAACAAAGCGTTGTCTCTTTTAAACATACCACTTGAGGCAAAAGGAATCCTGGACAGGAGTTTTCTGCAGAGGCGTTTAAAACCCTACCGAATCCGCTTCTGCTGCCGTGCTCTGTAAATGTCATGAACAGGGGGGACAACGGCTCCCTTTTCTTCATCTTCATCTGAATCCTCGTTGGGCCTTTTGACGGCCTTGGTGAGTACTGCATTACTTTCCACGGGGCCGTTGCCTTCTACAGCTAGCTCTGGGGCCCCACCAGTAATGATCCTCACAGCTTCCTCAACAGCTATTAAAACAAAACAACAAAACGTAAAAACATATTCCACTATGAAAGGGTATGTATGTTCAACTGTGGATACTTTATTTCATAGCCTACTATTTTAGCAAAACATGGGATAGTACTACTGATACTAAATAATTAAAGAAAAAGACAAAAGCTGCTGTTAAAACTAATAATTTTCATAAGCCAAGCCTGATAGTGCATGTTCACATGAATAGAAAAGATAAAGTTTTATGACATTTTACTTAGTGGAATTCAATGTGAATAAGCCTTTCTCTGCCAAAGAGGGTTTGGGTAACTCCTGGGTTTCACTGCACTTCAAATTGGCTGGCTGGTTTCGAAAACTTCAGTGGCAGAGAATAATAATCTCTACTGCCTATGAGACAACAACGTGGAATGACACTCTGAAATGGAGCTTCTGTTACTTACTATTTGGTATCTTGCATCTTCGGAAAATTTCCATCAGTTCATCCACTTGTACAAAAGGACCCTATTTTTGACATGAATAAATTTTAATCCCAGTAATCTGACAAGTTAAAGTAGTAGTAACTTTATACACAATTACTATGACCCACAGAGCCAGTATCTACCATGAAAATAAGTGAACAAACCTGGAAACAGATAGGAGGAGGGAGAAGTTTCATTAAAACAACAGCTGCAGGAGGGACTGGGAACACTCCACCAGGTACAGGGTGTAAACCTGGAGCTGTGAGAAAAAGAAAAGTATGAATCAAGTGGAATGGAAGAATTTCTACACAGAGCTAAAATCAAGTGACTTGCACATAAAGATCTTCCATGTCTGCTGCTTTGTTCTGGACACTGAAAATACTTCTAGGGCTTTACCAAACCAAAGTGGGTGAGACAGCAGTCTCAATGCCGTGGCCACTGGGAGGCAGAGAAGTAGACAAGTGACTTTGTGTAAGACAACCAGGGACTGAACTAAAGTCAGTTTTTGTCAAAGAGTGTTTCTGAGTTACACAAGTCATTTGTTTAGCAATCCTGTTTCAAGTCAATTATTCAACAGTGTATTTAATCAGAAGGGCCTTGTTCAAAAAGAATCTAGAGAGGCTACTAACCCATTCCTAAGTAAAGAAACCAAATCTATCAGTGAAGAAAGTTTCCACCAGCTGTTCAGGTAATCTGCACATAGCAGCATTCCTTTTTTTTTTTTGATACAGAGTGTCGCTCTTGTTGCCCAGGCTGGAGTGCAATGGCACCATCTTGGCTCACTGCAACCTCCGCCTCCCGGGTTCAAGTGATTCTCCTGCCTCAGCCTCCCAAGTAGCTGGGATTACATGTATATGCCACCAGGCCCAGAAAATTTTTGTATTTTTAATAAAGACAAAGTTTCACCATGTTAGTCAGGCTGGTCTCAAACTCCTGACCTCAGGTGATCCACCTGCCTTGGCCTCCCAAAGTGCCAGGATTATAAGTGTAAACCACTGCACCTGGCCATAGCAGCATTTCTGAAAACCAAGTATTACTGCCAAAATGGGTTCCTGGAATCTGGATCATTGAAGTTTTGTTTTTAGGACATTCTTAGTTAATCTAGTTCAAAGATTAAAGCTAAATCACTTGTCATAGTGATCCTAAGTCTAATAATTAACCCACAATTGAGAGGCCATGTCACTTTACCCCCACGCTTTGGATTTAAATCAACAAACAAACCAACGTCTCAGTACTGGATCTAAAGTCATGGCTTACGTGCTAAATGTCGTGGCTGAAATGGAATCATCTGCTGAGTGTCTGGTTTAGGGTATTCTGGTTTTCTATCCACTTCATCTTTCAGAACAGGCACTATAGAAGGAGCTACAACTGGGTCCGGAATTATAGCTGCTAGCTTAGCACGGGAGACATCCTGAAAATGCAGAACAGAAGAATCCTAAACCTGAAAAAGGGACTACTAGAGAATAATCATGCAATAACCTTGAGGATACAGTGTGAATATCTGGGTCAAAACCACAGAAAGAAAATGGAGACGGATAAGCAAGGACTCTAATGATGGTAAAGATTGTTACTCAACAAGGAAAGCTATTTGGTTCTAAGACTCAGTGTATCATAACTTTACCCCACACAAGTTACAAGTCATTAAACTTAGTGTTGCCAGGCAGGACATTTGTAGGACAGATACAAGCTTTTTTGGGTAGTCAGACTGGGAACCAAGTAGAGGCCAGGATAATTTGGAGGAAAATTCAAGATTTTAGATCTTCTGACACCTCCCTTCCATTAGAATTGAACACCAGTTTCATTAAATGAAGAAGCTGGATTAAGTGACTTCCTGTTTTGTGAAGGCATCACACCGGTTAAGATTTTGCTAATGCAATGAAAAATTATTTCCAATGTACTATTTATTACAGGGGACAAGGAATATTTACTGAGCAGACACTATTCATCAGGCAATTTTAGCCATTCTGTTTTTAATGAGGGAAATAGTAACATCTCCATTATATAGAAGGGACTGAAGCTCACAAAGGTTTTGATATTTCCCAGGTCACACAGCTAATAAGAAGTAGAGAGAGGAGGATTGGGAGGGCAGGCCTCTCTGACCTCAAATCCATCCACAGTCTTCTTTTCAGTACACTAGCATTGCCCTGCCAGGGCTGAGACAAGATATGCCAAAGGAAGCAATACAGTCACCTATGAACAGAGGCCCTATCTCAGAGGAGCTCCTCTGCTCCAGACAACCCAGTGTTACTCTGTCTGTCTAGAAACAAAAGAACCCCTTTTTGCCGCCATCAAGGGATATAAAAGCATTCCACTTTCTCAAAATTTGTTGAAATGGAGTTGGTGACATCTGGTATTAATTATATAAGCAAATCTAAATGGTAGACACATTGGGTATCGCTTTTTAAAAATCTTTCTCACAGATACATACATACCATACCACCCACCGTTAAACACAGAAGCACATTAATCCTTCCCCAAAAAACAAAAGAGTAGAAATAGAAATACAAGATGGAAAACATCATATTCAGGAAGTAGTTCTACTCCTGAATACTTACTCTCTTTTTTTTTTTTTTTGAGACAGAGTCTCACTCTGTCACCCAGGCTGGAGTACAGTGGTGCTATCTTGGCTCACTACAACCTCCTGGGTTCAAGCAATTCTCCTGCCTCAGCCTCCTGAGTAGCTGGGATTACAGATGCCCGCCACCAAGCCCGGCCAATTTTTGTATTTTAGTAGAGACGGGGTTTCACCATGTTGGCCAGGCTGGTCTCAAACTCCTGACCTCAGGTGATCCACCCACCTTGGCCTCCCAAAGTGCTGGGATTACAGGTGTGAGCCACCACACCTGGCCACTATAAGATCTTTCTTTTCTGTTTATTTTTATTTTTTATTTTATTTTTTTAAGACAGGGTCTCACTCTGTCACCCAGTCAGGAGTGCAGTGGCTTGATCACGGCTCACTAAAGTAGGCTCAGCTTCCCTCCTGGGCTCACCTTGGCCTCCCGAATAGCTGGGACCACAGGCAGGCGCCACCACACCTGGCTAATTTTTGTATTTTTCTCTCTTTTTTTGGTAGAGATGGGATTTCATCATGTTTCCCAGGCTGGTCTTGAACTCCTGGGCTCAAGTGATCGCCTGCCTCAGCCTCCCAAAGTGTTGGGATTATAGGCGTGAGCCACTGTGCCTGGCAGATCTTTATTTTAATTAACTGCCTTAATTTTCATTTTCATCTTGGAAAAGTTGAAATAGCTTTTTCTAGCAATTGCACAAAGTACAGTAAGTCCCTCACTTAACATTGTATAGGTTCTAGGAAACTGCAACTTTTAGAGAAATGATGGGCTAGGCGTGTTGGCTGCTGCCTGTAATCCCAGCACTTTGGGAGGCCAAGGCAAGTGGATTCCTTGAGCCTAGGAGTTTGAGGCCAGCCTGGGCAACATGGTGAAACCCCATCTCCACAAAAAAATACACAAATTAGCCAGATGTGGTGGCATTTGCCTGTAATCCCAACTACTTGGGAGGCTGAACAGGAGATCACCTGAGCCCAGGGAGATCAAGGCTGCAGTGAGCCATGATCTCACCATTGCACTCCAGCCTGGGCAACAGAGTGAGACCATCTCAAAAAAAAAAAAAAAGACAGAAACGATGTATAGGAAAACCAATTTTTTTCTTATCAAGGTTATAACAAAACCATGTTAAACACAAAAAAGTTATTTGAGGACCCGCTGTGTATCATTTAGCTTAAAGTCAAAGTTTCTAAGAACCTATCAATGATGTTAAATGAGGATTTACTGTAGTCTTAAACTATCTTTGACTTTTCATTGAGAAGTAGTTAAAACTAGAAGCAGAAACTACTTATCCCTGAGCAGTAATCCTATGGTTCATACCAGGAATCTGCATCTGGCACAGAAATAGGGCTTCCATTAACAAAAATGTCTGAATATCAATTATGGGTAGTTTTTTCTCAAAATATTTTATCTGGATCAGACAGAGCAAGACCCAGGCTAAAAGAGGGCAGTGAGGAAAAGGAGAATGATGGTCAGGAACATCCTAATGGTGGTTGGCTTAAAGAGATCAACCAAGGACTTCTCTGTGAATTTCCATCTTAGTCTTTGTTCACATGTCACAGAAAGATTAAGAGATGATATAACAGTGGTTTTATCAGCAAGGGCTGTTACTGGGGCTTTGTAAATATTAATCTCTCCCTGTGGCCTGAACAGGTTCAGGTGCCAGATTTGTTTTCTTATGACTCAGTAGTCTGTATAGAAGAGTTCTATTCATAGATGAGCTAATTCCCCCAAAGGCCACTGAAGGAGCACTGTTTTAAGAATACAAATCCCTCAAGGAACTTTATGGATTTAACAAGCTGTAATATTTCTTCATTATATCTTACAAAATATGCAACAGGAACTACATTTGGTTTAAGATCTGTCAAAACATATTTATCAATTTGATAAGAACTATTAGGAAAAAAAAGTAATACCTAAGATGACATTCAGATTTTCTTTTGTTTTTCTTCCCTCCACACTCCCTCCATCTTGCCCACCAGATATAAGATATAAGGCACTGACAATTTCAG